>NC_000010.11:4403939-4555454 GCF_000001405.40 Homo sapiens
TCTCCTCACATTCACGTTCACGACATCGCAGATATAGTCCGAGGTTACCCGGAAATGATCTGCTGAGACATAGGAAGCTATGCCCATCAGAGAAAACTAACAGAAGCCGGAATCTCCTCACATTCATGTTCACGACATCGCAGATATAGTCCGAGGTTACCCGGAAATGATCTGCGGAGACACAAGAAACCATGCCCATCAGAGAAACCTAACGAGGCCAGAATCTCCTCATTCATATTCACGACACGACAGATATAATCCGAAGTTACCAGGCATACACAGAATCAGGAAAATGGAACACATTCTCAGGAGAAAAGAAAAACAATTGATTCTGAGCCTGAGATGAACCAGACATTTCAATTAATGGTAACAATTTTGAAGCAGCCATTATATTTATTTTTAATAACTAAATCAAAACATTGTTCCCAATGAATGAGAAACAAGAAGTATAAAGAGTAGAAACAGAAAAGTAGGATCACATGGAAATTCTACAACTAAAAAATAGAATTTCTGAAATAAAATGTTCAAAGAGCATAGAATTACTAAAAACGTCGATGAAGATGTGGAGCTGAAAGTCTCACACATTGCTTGTGGGAATGAAAGATGATCTTGAAGTTTCTCACGCAGATAAACATATAGTTAGTACATTACTCAACAATTCTACCTCTTGGCATTTACTAAAAAAAAAAGAAAAGAAAATTCAGTCAATAAAGGCTTGTACATAAAAGCTTTGGATGTAATAGTTTAATTCTTACTAGAAGATTAAGATTAATACTTAATAGATAACGGTGGAAACTGAAATCTACCTACATGCCCGGTTACTATTATAGAAGAATAGATAAACCAATCGTGGTCTCTTCACATAATAGAATAGTATTCAGTAATAAAAGCTAATGTCTTATTTTTATCAATGACAAGTATATCAAAAATATTTTCCTCAGTGAAGGAAGATAGGCACAAAAGAGGATGCCCTGTAATTCCATTAGTATTACATTCTAAAAACGGCAATAGTATTCTATATGCACAGAGGACAGAGCAAGGAAGGACTCTGTAAGCTTGCGAAAGGAGAAGAGCATGATTACAGAGAGCACAGAGTAGTCTTTGTGGGATGAAGGAAATAGTCTCTATCTTTACTGTGGCAATGGTAAAACAGTAACAGATAATCAGGTAAGTTTAGGGTTTACTTCAGAATTTATCCAACTTTTGAAGTGTCAGAGGACACCAATTTTAAAAAAAACTATTTAAATTTTTGTTAGCTCAGTTTTCCTGTGCTTACATGAACTGCAGCTCTTTATTCCTCTTAACTTGTTAACATCAAGGAACATACTGTTTGAAAAGCTGCTTCAAAAGGGATAGAAAGAAAATGAATCAAAAACACTAACAGTAAGCCCCTATACCCTTGTAGAGGAAATGATAGGGACGTAAACATATTTATTACTGGCATGTAGTGCTAAGTGCTATAAAAAGATCCAAAAAATGTGCTAGAAATTTTTACAATGTATTTTATATATTGCTTCCTAAATGCAGTATAAAGCCATGAGATAGAGACCTTTTGAGCTCAAAATTTCCCCCTGGAGTCCCTATTTTTAATGTAACCCACAGTTGCTGGAAATACTAACTTTTTCTTAATACATTTAGATTTAGAGAGAATTCCCTTAAGAAACAAGAATTGTTTTGACGTGTATAATTGTAGGAATTTGAGAGGAACATGAAAATGTTGCTAAGTAAAAATTTCTATGGGTATTTAGAGGTACTGACACATGTACCCAATATATATAGTTCTGTATAATGTCTGGGGAACTCTTAAGTTCTACTTCACTAATAAAACACATGCTAAAAAGGGGAAAAGGGGAAACATTTTCACATAGTTTTATGTCAGCAATCTAAAATACAACCTAAAGGAAAGTTTGATCTGGGCTTTATGTTTTTCCCAGCCTTTGTGAAGGTTTCTAACAGAATTGATTTATTTGAGCATCTAGTTTTAAAGTGAACAGTTCCTAGCAATGTGAATGCCTATAGTGACCTTCACAGCTTGTCTTTTAAGAGGCATGGTGACGCTTGCCAGTAGCTTTTGTAACTGTGGATTATTCTCTAAGCTTTACACACACTGAGCCCAATTTGCTGAGTAGGTGTGTTTTTCCCTGCCCAAAATTTTAAGAGATTTGAAAGGTGCTTTAATTCTTACCATGCAGTAAACGCTACACTGGTGATGTTGACATACTAGATTCCCCACACAACTATATTCCTTTCAGCACGTAGTTTCTGCAGCCTTATTTCATGTCCTGGTTTCCACCCTGGTTCACCATTCCATCAGGAGTCAGGGCTCCTGAATCTAGCTGGTGGCTGAACCAGCCTTGAACAGGATATCTCTCTTCCACTCCCCAGTGGAAGAGCAGACCCTGGGAACTCCCTGGTTCATTCCACATCTTGACAGAGACTAAAGTAAAGAGTGCTTTCATCACATTGTGATGTCAAAGAACTTTCACACACCCCTAAAATTCTGAACTCTTTGAAAAAACCCAATGAGGATTGAAAAATTGACACACCTGAAAGCTAGTGTTTGGGAAGACAACAACCCAGGGCTGTTCTGTTTCTGACTCAAGATATTGGAGCAAGCTATGCCTCTCCATGGAGGTAATCCCTCCTCAACTCCTAGTGTTGAGTCCAGGAGTCAGAGGGCCTGTATTATTGTAGACACACACGGGCATTTAAGCAAGACTTACCACACTAGGGTCTTCCATCCATTCTACCACTTACTGTCATCTTCTATAACATACACAGAAGAAAGCAGGAGGAGTGTATCTGTGTCCACATTTTCTGCCTGGCACAAAAAATGATGAATCCACAAAGTGCAGTTTCACCTAGCATTTATCAGCCATCAAAGCTGTACAGTAATGTGACTTTCTATTTAATTCCTCACCATACCATATTGTTTAAAAAAGATTCCATCAGGCCTGGGTACAGTGGCTCACACCTGCAATCCTAGCACTTTGGGAGGCCAGGTGGATGGACCACTTGAGCCCAGGAGATCGAGACTAGCCAGGGCAACATGGAAAAATCCCTTTTCTACAAAAAGTACAAAAAGAAAATTAGCTGGGTGTGATGGTGCGTGCCTATAGTCCCAGGTACTCAGGAGGTTGAGGTGGGAGGATCAGCTGATCCTGGGAGGTCGAGGCTGCAGTGAGCCCTGATTGCACTACTGCATTCCAGCCTGGGTGACAGAGTGAGACCCTTCCCCCTCACCCCCATAAAAAGGATTCTGTCATCTGATTTATAGAGGACCTTTTAAATCACTAAACTCAGAACAAATTAAAATATCCAAAACATATATTTATAATTGTACATACAAGATTCAGCTGGCTACCAGAATTTTAAATAGGTAAATGGGTATTTTAGCCCTCTATGAATATCAATTAGGTGCAAATATAGCCTTTGCCATCGGAGTGAAATATCATATAATGACTAGGTCTCTGAACAAATTTGTTGAATTTATTTTATTTTGTATTTTGAAGTTGCTTTTAATATGAGTGTTGGAATACAAGGGTCTTAGTAATTGGATTACCAGAGTATCTGAGTACCAAAAAAGATATGAGAAAATTACTTCCATTAGGTTCCAAAGGATTTATTGAGATCCTAAAATATCATATTTGCCATAGGGGAGAATTGTCTTCCAAAATCATTTTTCTTTTTTAAATTCGGGTGTCCAAAGCCACTGCACTTACTGCAATTAATAAAATTCTCTGGCAAGGCATAAGAGTGTTCTTGCTTCAAGCTGCAAACACTTTCCCCTGAAGACTTGGAATGACACGAAATTAATATGAAGGAGGAAAGAAAGAATTAATTAGTATTTGATAGTGGAGCATTAAACGTTGATTTATTAGTCACAACCAACATTAGGTAAGCTTACTTTATAAACCTCAAACCATATCCTTCCCAGGTTTGTTCTCATCACCACCATAAATTGCCCATATACTAACTGATGGTAATTTGTCACAAACAAACATAAGGGGCTCTTAGTCAAATGGTGACATATATGTGAGTGTATAAACTTCCTCTTATTAACATGACTCAAGGAATATACCAACTATGGGGAAGATTGCATCAGCAAAGAAAAAGGAAGAAGGATGTACCTACAAGCAAATGCAAATGGAAACAAAAGCAGGGATCATAATCTCTGCAGAGAAAAAGTGTTCAAGCCAACACATTATATAAACAATGAGGACTATGTTTTTTGACAAATGTTAAAATTTGCACGATCTTGCATTTTATTTATGTTGCTGATTTTATAATTCTGATTAAAGCTGACCTGAATGTATTCAGTTTATGTGTAATACCCTAGTACTTTAATGCATTTTTTGGAGGAATGAGTAATATTATTTTTCATAGATGAAGAAGGAACTGGTAGTGAGTCAAGACATACTGAAGCAAAATAATAATAAAAGTTATTATTACCAAAAAAAGTAAAATAAAACTTCTAGTCATTAAATATTGTCTCCATCTCCTTCTTCTCCATAGATGAGGAAGCCTGCAGCCCCCGAAGGTCACGGATGCTGTTGGAGCCACGAGGAAGAGCCATCAGCCCAGGGAGACCCTGAGGGTCAGGGCATCTCCATGGATGAACTCCGTGTACTGCTGGACTCATCCAACCCTTCGTGGACATCACTTTGTAGTGAAAATCCCTTTTGTTGTTGAAGAAAGCCTGAGTTGGGTGATTTATTACTCATAAAGTATGTTAATACCTTGATGCTAATATTCTCATGAGAGAATTATACTCTAGTCTTATGATAGCACTAAAAGTAACTTAAAGGCCCCACGCTTCTCCAGATAAAACCAACACTTGTGAAACCCTTGCTTTGCCGTTTACTATCTATGTTCCTGGACAAACTATTAAATGTGCCGAGTCTACACCTCCACCTCAGTTTAGGATCAATAATCTATATCTTTTCTTTTTCAGTTTCAATACATAAAAATAAGTGCCATGAGTAGTTCTTGTAACTGAATAGGCACTTAAAAGTGAAATTAGGCTCTTCATTTCTCCTGCTTTCTTATCGTACATCTTTATGATACTTTAATTTGAGCTACAACCCCTGAGATCTTCTTGAGAGTTAATCACTGCTGAGAGACAATACAGAGACAGGACAATAGACAGATCGCATGTGACGACAGAGCTCTGACCCACAACCTCTGCAGCAATTGCTCCCCAACAATGGGGACTTAGTGAATAACTGCTACCTGCCCTATTTATGCCCCCAACTCAGGAACAGCAGGTCAATCCAATATGCTTCTCTAATACCCACATAGTTCTCATTCTTTTATTTTTAATGTTTATTTTGATCTACAATTAAAATAACAGCTAACAATCATAGGTATGCATCCTTCAATGCTTCCAACTTATAATCATTCTTGTATTAAGAATTTTACTCTTTCATTTTCCTGTGGTTGTTTTTTTCCCCTCAGGTTCTGCAAACACATTTGTTGCCTAAAATTGCACCTCTGAGAAATTCCAGCACACTGGCATAGTGTTCTGGACTCTCGCTGTGGTATTACTGCCAGCACTATGCTTCCTTATTAAAAAATGTAGAGGCTCACTTGCAGCAAGCTTGATAGCAGGATGATAAAATGGCAGGGTATTTTTAAACACAGATTTTATGAGATGTATTACATGGAATTAAATTTAGACCATATATCAAGGAAATCACCATAGAGCTTTGAGCGTGATTCAGATCATCCTGGCATTAGTTGGACCACTCTGTTGGCTCAACAATGTCATTGCCTGAGTGGGAAATAAATGGCCAAGTCTATGGGGGCACTATCGGGTTGGCTTGCTGGTCACAGCATCCTCCCCCCACAAGATGTCTCATCTGGAAGGGTATGTAGGGCAGCAATTGGTGGAAATACACAGCAGAAGAAGATTGTGACTCTTTCTCCAACACACCCCCTCCTCCTCAGTACACAACCTCTGCTCCCAATGATGGTACAAACATCAGGGATTTGACAGTACACACTCAAGAAACTGTTTTTTGGTGGTGTGTTTGTTTTTCTTTTTTCTTTTTTAGTTTGTTTTTGGTAGGATCTATCTAAATGTAAGGTTATTTTGATGGTTAATATTGAATGTCAACTTGATTGAAGGATGCAAAGTATTGTTCCTGGATGTGTCTGTGAGGGTGTTACTGAAGGAGATTAACATTTGAGTCGGTGAACTGGGAGAGGCAGACCCACCCTCAGTCTGGGTGGGCACCATCTAATCAGCTGCTAGGGCTGCTACAATAAAAGCAGGCAGAAGAACATGAAGGACTAGACCAGTTGATTCTTCTGGCCTCCATCTTTCTCCCATGCTGGTTGCTTCCTGCCCTTGAGTATTAAACTCCAAGTTCTTCACCTTTGGGACTCTTGGACATTTGACCACACACTGAAGGCTGCACCGTCGGCTTCCCAACTTTTGAGGTTTTGGGACTTGGACCGGCTTTCTTGCTTCTTTGCTTGCAGACAGCCTATTGTAAGACTTCACCTTGTGATCGTGTGAGTCAGAACTCCTTAATGAACTCTTCCTCATGTATACAGCTATCCTATTAGTTCTGTGCCTCCAGAGAACCCTGACTAATACAGTTACACTCCCGGTCCGCATTTGGGATTCTGTATGTAAACCTCAGAATAAATTCAACAAAATTTGTCGAATTTTCCCTTTGGTGACTTCACATCTTTGCAAAGAGGGGGTTTTGGTGGTTGCTGTGATAAAACTATGTATAACAAAATCAATGTGCATCAAGAAATAAGGATCAAGAAGTCATGCAATGCCCACAGGTGAACATCTCCCATTATTGAATAATTACAACTACTTAACAATAAAACTGAATATTAGTTTTCTTTCAACCTATGTTATGTGTATGATTTTTTCAAGGATGCCCTAAGTGGTTAGGATAGAAATACTTAAATTTTTTTTGGACTTAGCGACTTAATAAATGTAAGCAGTCATATAGTTATTTTGGAGCACTGTGGAAATATTGCTGCAATAGTAAAGCCACTGCGGGAACTAAAAAAGCTTGTGAATCTGTCCCTATTTAATTAGACCAGGAATTTGGGCTTAAGACATTGGTGACTCTTCTGACCAGCATCTACAGAGGGTCAGCTATGAGATCCCAGTCCACCGAGGAAGCAGGCTGGTAAAACCAATCCACCACTCTCAATGGGATAGTCAGTGTGAAACACAGAAGACCCAGTAGTAGAATGGCTCTGGCTAGACAGGAGTCAAAAATCATGGTGGAGAAACTAGGAGGCTGTGTATGTTTGGATTGAAACCCTGCATACCTGACACCTTCAGGTCTGAGTGCCACCAAGAGGGAGCTGGCCACTCCACCCTGGAACGGGCCAGTCAGAAGAGGTGAAGACACTGAGGAAAGCTGACTCCTTGAAGCAGCCCACTCAGGTTGCTTCGTTAGAACTGTCTTTTAGTCTGAGTGCAAATGAGCAATGCCCCAGTTCCAGCCCTTGAAAATGTTTTCTTATGTTTCTTTCTAAGTCTTAGCATCCTTATTCTACCTTCCCCAACAGGCACATCTGCTGTAGTCTGTGTGATTTTTACCTTTGCATTCAAAAGAGAATAATTGGCTTATTAGCATCTGTTATGTGCTGTTTGTCTCATTATTTGTTTTATGTGTACTTTTAATTACCCAAATATTACTTTATGTTGGCCAGTAGCCCTATTTTATAGAAAATTCACAATAGAAGGCACATACAAGGTTTCCTTTATTGCATAAGATGATAACATATGGCAGGTTGTATATTTTTTGAACCATGCAAATTCTGTCTCCTTATTTTAAACATAAGAAAGAAATGAATTCTATTAAAAGTAAAATGAGAAAGCCAAGATCATATATAGTGAGCCATATCATCATAATTTAGGCTTACTCTTTTGATGGTGAACACTGATGTTCCATTCTACCGTGAGGGTAAAAATGCTGACTGAGTTATCCCAATTGGAGCCTGCATAATTTTCAGCAACTCCAGCTCCTTGACAAAATGTAACTCATCATGTATGTTAGTTTAGTATTTATTCCATGTGTCTTAACAGCCCAATAAGACTTCATGCTATAAATTACCTTTTTAGTTGTAAAACAAATCAAGATATTCATCATAAGAGATATTTTCTCAGCATGGTTCCTGAAGGGTTAACTGCTAAACTATGTCTTCAGACCCAAGGAGATGTACCAAAGAAAGTATCAGCTAAGTAGCCTGTATTTTATACATTTATCAACTTTTAATGATTCTCTGTTATTTAAAAAATATGTATTTTAGAAAATATCAGTTTCAAGGGTAGTGAAATGACCACTGATGTCGTCATCCAGATCTTTTGGCCAGGTTACTTATCATCGGCTTCATTTGGTCTTTATGGAGTCTCTGTATCCTTAAGGGAGGTTATTTTTCTTTAGAAAATTCATTGTCTGCTTGTAGAATGCATGATCTGTTTTATTGTTGAAGCCAGGTATTCACGGACCCGACATCATTAGTGATTAATGATAGTCAGCTCTGAGAACGCTGGTTTTACTTATTTGGTTCTTATGCTGTTTGTGTAATTCCAATTGTGTGTCCTGAGGGAGTGGGATGTGAAGTCTGTCTGGACACTTATGAAGACATAAATAGATACATATGTTCCTGCAGAAAGGTTTTCATTTATGTTGGCTTAGGTATATATATACACACATATATATATATACATATATATATATATATATATATATACACACACATATATATATATATATACATATATATATATAAGACATCCATCTACTATCTCATCTATTCACAGGAATATTCTGTAATATATCTTTCTCACATAGGCAGCTGCACTTATGTGTTTTCATTCTGTGAATATATTGCTTAATTCTTTAAGATGTCACAGGTTTTTGCATTGTCAGAATACTACAAGACTCATGCAATTTACATCACATCTAAGAAACGCATTTTCCAACATGCACTCGAGATGAATTTGTAGCTCAGCTTGTGGCAGTGTACACACTAATCATGCCCCTCCTCTTCAGGTCAGTTCCGCATGGTGCAGAGGGTCACTACTTATAGTATGTTACCATAGGTTTGTCACATTTTCTCCTTTATTGATTTATTTATTTTACTTCTGAAAAGACTAGCCTAAAATGAAAACTTGCTGATAATTTAAATATAGTACGTGCTGGATGGTCACTTAGGAGGATAGTAGCTTTTCAAGCAAAACATTTATATTAATTTACAGTTTCAATGACATGATTTATTTGAAAAGCATCTGTAGAATGCCTTCTTTGTGCAAAGCAGCATGGAAGTGTGGCTTAGAAAAGGAACAAAACCTAAAACTTGCTCTCAAGAGCTATTATAATTCATTGGGAAAATTTACAGATTTTAAGTATATATGTATATATATATACACCCTCTCCCACACATACATATAGTATATATACTGCACTAGTATAGTCTTTTTTTTTTTTAAGTTTTAGGGTACATGTGCACAATGTGCAGGTTAGTTGCATATGTATACATGTGCCATGTTGGTGTGCTGCACCCATTAACTCATCATTTAGCATTAGGTATATCTCCTAATGCTATCCCTCCCCCCTCCCACCACCCCACAACCGTCCCCGGTGCATGATGTTCCCCTTCCTGTGTCCATGTGTTCTCATTGTTCAATTCCCACCTATGAGTGAGAACATGCGGTGTTTGGTTTTTTGTCCTTGTGATAGTTTGCTGAGAATGATGGTTTCCAGCTTCATCCATGTCCCTACAAAGGACATGAACTCATGATTTTTTATGGCTGAATAGTATTCCTTGTTGTATATGTGCCACATTTTCTTAATCCAGACTATCATTGTTGGACATTTGGGTTGGTTCCAAGTCTTTGTTATTGTAAATAGTGCCACAATAAACATACGTGTGCATATGTCCTTATAGCAGCATGATTTATAATCTTTTGGGTATATATCCAGTAATGGGATGGCTGGATCAAATGGTATTTCTACTTCTAGATCCCTGAGGAATCGCCACACTGACTTCCACAATGGTTGAACTAGTTTACAGTCCCACCAACAGTGTAAAAGTGTTCCTATTTCTCCACATCCTCTCTAGCCCCTGTTGTTTCCTGACTTTTCAATGATCGCCATTCTAACTGGTGTGAGATGGTATCTCATTGTCGTTTTGATTTCCATTTCACTGATGGCCAGTGATGATGAGCATTTTTTCATGCGTTTTTTGGCTGCATAAATGTCTTCTTTTGAGAAGTGTCTGTTCATATCCTCCGCCCACTTTTTGATGGGGATGTTTGTTTTTTTCTTGTAAATTTGTTTGAGTTCATTGTAGATTCTGGATATTAGCCCTTTGTCAGATGAGTAGGTTGCAAAAATTTTCTCCCATTCTGTAGGTTGCCTGTTCACTCTGATGGTTTCTTTTGCTGTGCAGAAGCTCTTTAGTTTAATTAGATCCCATTTGTCAATTTTGGCTTTTATTGCCATGCTTTTGGTGTTTAAGACATGAAGTCCCTGCCCATGCCTATGTCCTGAATGGCATTGCCTAGGTTTTCTTCTAGGGTTTTTATGGTTTTAGGTCTAACATGTAAGTCTTTAATCCATCTTGAATTAATTTTTGTGTAAGGTGTAAGGAAGGGATCCAGTTTCAGCTTTCTACATATGGCTAGCCAGTTTTCCCAGCACCTTATGCTATGATAAGGATGTTGATTTTAAAAGTGGATAGTATTTTTTATAGTTTTTAAGACTATATTAGTGTAGTATATAGTCTTAAAAAACTATAAAAAATACTATCCACTTTTAAAAACACCATCCTTATCATAGCATAAGTATTTGAACATTTCTTCATAATCATTATCTTGAATAAGAGCATAACTTATTTTTCCAGAGGGTCTTTTCAATTTCTTCTTTTTCTTACTCTTATTCATATTGATAATTTATATCATTTCGTACTTTTACATAGCTTGTTTTCAAAAACATAGTCTTGCATGAAGTTTTCTCTTTCTCTCTTCCCTTCCCTCCTTCCTTCCCTCCCTCCCTGTCTCTCTTTCTTTTTTTCTTTTTCTTTCTTTCTTCCTTTCCCTCTTTCTCTCTTTCTTTCTTTCTTTGTCTCTCTCTCTCTCTCTTTCTTTCTTTCTTCCTTTTTTTTTAAAAGTGTCTCTCTCTGTTACCCAGGCTGGAGTGCAGCAGCAGGATCATAGCTGACTGTATTCTTGACCTCCCCAGGCTCAGTTGATCCTCCCATCTCAGCCTCACAAATAGTTGGATCTACAGTTATGTTCACCACTTCTGGCTAATTATTCTTTTTTTTTTTTTTTTTTTTTTTTTTTTTTTTTTTTTTTTTTTTGTAGAGACGAGGTCTCACCATGTTGCCCCAAGCTGGTCTTGAACTCCTAGTCTCAAGCAATCCTCCCGCCTTGGCCTCTCAAAGTGTTTAGGTTACAGGTGTGAGCCACCATGCCTAGCTGCATATAGTTTTCTACCCCAATATTTTAAAAAGTGTTTACTTAGAAGATATTTCAAAAAGTTATGCATGTTATCAATGAAGTGTGAATTCTAAGCTCCAGTGCTGTAGCATCAGCATTGTCTCTTGCCTGAGGAAACAAAAGAAGTGTGTTAGGTAGAGAGAGGCTTTCAAACCATGTCCCAGCACCTTCAGACAAGCAATATTGTGATAAGAATACTGTTAAATTAGTGAACATTTCTCTTACAGACCATTGAGAAAATATTTTCAAGACTGACTGAGCATTTACTGATAAATCACATTATAGTTGAAAAGAATATGCAACAAGATAAAGTTAAAATAACTTTTCTTTGGAAAGAAATAGATGTTTGGGAGGGGAAAATCATATACGTGTTATATTTAGTTTGTTGGTTTCTGCCCCAAATTTAAGTCTAACATCTTTTGAGCTTCATTTTTTATACTGTCATATTGACTTAAAAGCATTCTTGCTCTACATTATTGTTGTCACAGATTTTATGGACATCATCTAGTTCTTTTCGTTATACTTCTTGACAACCAGATAGTTCCAAAGAAAAGATGTGTATTATATCACAAGAGACTTTCATTCACATAAGTATTGATATGCTATCAAGTCAAATGCCAAGATTTTCACTCAATCCACAGATTTCCCATGCTATCAAAAAAGATATGATGAAAGACTCAATTAAAACATTCACCAACATCTAAATAAACTGTATCTGAGCAATTAATGTCTTTCGTCTAAATCTTTCATCATTTACTGTCAGCAATAAAGTCTTATTTATTGCAACGCAAGTTTAATCACAGTACTATTCAACTAAAAGCAAAAACAAAACAAAACCAACCTGGAAATGCAGAAATTGCAAAGAAGCAAAAATGCATAACTTCAGCTGCCATGTACCAGTACATGGTTTCCTCAACACTGCACCTGGAGGCCAACCCCGGGTCAGCATTCAAAAACACAACAGAAAACATGGCTTTTCCTTCTGCCTGCTAAATGTCATTTGAATATCACTCATTGGAAGGATGCAGCCAATGATGGTGACAAGAAAATCTGGAAAATAAGGTTCAAAGGAGAACTTAGAAGAGTAGGGTGCATATAGAGTCTCAACAATGACACCATTCTGACCCAGTGCTTTGTAAGCTGTTGTGTGTTGATTTATATTTTTCAGCCTCATTTTCTTCCACCTTATGATATGACATGCATCCTGCTCCATAAGCACCCACAACTATCCCCAAATTTCCCAGGTATGCCTTTTCCAATCATTGTCTTCAGAGCCACACCCATGATGCTATGGGAAAACTAGACTTATAAGTACCTCATATCTGCTTATCCTACACCACCTTCACCCATCTTTTGACTCCACTCCTCTGACTTCTGTATCTCAGCGGCATCACCACCCACACAGTTTGTGAAATCACAAACTTGGGCTTTATTGTTGATTCTTACTTTGCCTCCCTCTCCATCTAATCCATCTTGAAGTCCTGAGTGTTCTGACTCTTCCTTCTGGCTTCTCCACCTTATTTTAGGCTAAGATCATGTATGTCCTGGGTCATTCCAGAGCCTAAATTCCACACCCTGAACATTAAAAACATGTATCCAATGCTCAAATCCCTTTTGCATATGTATACGGGCTTAGAGAAACTAGAGAAGTTAGTTCTGATACCCTACTTCACTTGACATGTGCCAGTCAGATTTAAATCCAATTTATTTTCTAGCATTACCTTCCTTAATCAATAGAAAAATTGTTGTCTGTTTATCCATTGATTCCAACTGCAGAAAAATAACTCTTTATTTTCAGAGTTCTAAGGGAACAGGGAATACGCACTCATTCATCTTAGAGACGTCAGATGGATGAACAAAGGCTTAACTAGGCCAGCAAGCATGAATATTCTCTACTTTGGTCCTTACGTCTCATCCAGAGTCGTTCAGACCAGACAAAGCAGTGACGTTAGTAAGATTTGTATCAGGGCCTATTACCAATCTAATACCAACTGCAACCTAATAACCCTCCAACATGTATTGGTTGGAATGTGATTACTTTATCACTTTGATTTTTGTAGTGATATTAATTGGCTAATATGTTATCAATTCCTGTAAAAATATTTTAATGTTTTTAAGTAATTCTGAAAGACTGGAAATTGTATAGGAAGACAAAAATCCTCTCTACCTCCTGAAGCGTTTATCGAAGATATGATATCATGACCAGGGTTTGGGAAGAACAGATTGACAGAATATTGGTAATTCTTGAAGCTAAGCATTCAGCCACATTGTGCTGTCCTTTGCATGTTTGTATATTTTGGAATATTTTCATAATAGATAAATTTTTACCAAATTCTACCAAAGCCAAACATATGTATTTTTGCTGGTGGAATTTCAGAGCTATGGTGCAGGGTACAGAGACTTTTACAATGACAATATTTTACTCCCTACAGAGGCCACTGTAAGAGAGCACTACAATTTTATGAATAGATTCATCTCATCATGCAATTTTTATCATCCTTTTAATATGTATAATGTTATTTTTTTCTTTGGATGTCAGCCTTATTACATCAATTTAAAAGTTTTGTGCTTTGAATTTTTAGAATGAACATTTTAGTTCATGTATTAATCTTGTTTTTAATAAAGAGCTTCTTCTAAGCTTTTCTATAGCTGAACATAATTAAATCCTCTCATAAAAATGAAGTGCACAAATTCCTTGGTAATACAAATAATGATTCTGCACATGGCAATTTGTAGGATCTTGTCTTTCTAAATTCCAGGTGTTTCTGAGGTGAGCTTTACATGAATCGGGTCAAAATCTTTCTAATTAAAGTCATGTTTGCATAGGTAAATAAAGTGGTCCAGGATTGAAAAACAGGCATATAGTAACCGCCTATTTCAAGTTTATATAAAGCATCTGGCTACTAGATGACCTTTTGGGTCTTTTATATTATATTAACATCAAGGAATTCCATTCTGTCTACTTCTCTCTCCTGCACTGTACTAGAAGAGGACCTCCTCATCACCAGAAGCTTCCTGCAGAGAGTTGAACAAAAGTCTCCTCCTAGTATCCTTCAAGAAATGAGCTTAAGTATCTTAAAGATAAAATGGTCTATTTTTTAGTAAATAGTGACAGGGTGGTGGAAGAGTATGATTTATTTTGCCCATAAAATGTATTATTTTATGAACATTTTAATTATTTTTCAACATTTCACTTTAATCATGAAATGTAAATTCAAAGCAAATTTTTCTTTTAAATATTTATTTATGTCTGATAATTTGACAATGTTTTCCTTCAGTTTCAAATATTTACCCTTAACATTAGTAAACTAAAAATGATCAGCATTTTCTTTAGAAAGGAACTATTCACACAACCAATTTAGACTAATTTTACTTAAGTAAAGTATATATTTTACGAAATCAATTACTTATTCATTAGGAATAATTCAGAAGTTTCCAAATTTTTATAAATAATATGCCAATGGCAAATGTAAATTTGAAATGTATGCAAATTTAGATTTGTATCCTTTTCAATTAAAAAATAAAGCCAGTTCTGACAATGGTTCCCAGGTTACTTCATTGGTTCTAAAGTGGCTTCAAATTTTTAAAATTTTTTTTTCATACATAATACACACATAATATCAATGACCAAAACAATTTGAGAAACATTATTTTTACTTGACTTTTTTTGTGGAAAAATAAAATGAATCATGATATGGAGGATATATAATAGCGTCAGTTACACTTTTTCTCATACTTCTTTTCTTTCTTACAGGAATATGCCCAAAGTTTGGAGGTGATTCCTTTATTTTATCCCTTTACAGGTATGGGGACAGAGAGGCACTTAAGTGTCTATAATAGTACCATAAAAGGTTTCTGCTTAAGGTATGCAATTGAAGACATGTAATCATAACTTCTGATTTTACCAGTCTACCTATTTGTCACTCCAAATACCTTACATCCAGCTCCTTTTTGTTTTAGTTCCTGCCGCCCTACCTGGTGGAATCAATTGTCCTGTCCAGGAGCTTTGGCAAGGGTCTCTGTGCAGAGGTTAGAACTATTTCAATAAACGTGTGTGTGAACTAATTTTAAAAAAATGAATCAATGTTTAGACAAAGCAGATTTCACAGCAAACAAAATTACCAGGGATAAAAAGGAACACTATTTAACAATAAAGGGTTCAACTCTCCAAAAAGACACAATTCTTAATGTGCATTTGTTTAAACAAGAAAACTTAAAAATGCGTGAGGCAAAAACTGACAGCAATGCAAAGATAAATAGATGAATCTACTGTCATAGTAGAAGACTGCAACTTCCACAGTCAGAAACAGATTTAAGAGCCAGAAAATCAGTAAGGACATAGCTTAACTCAACAGCACCAAATATTAACCGGATATAATTGACGTCTATAGACTACTTCATTCAACAACAGCAGAATACACATTCTTCTTAAGATCCCATGCAACACTCACCAAGGTAGTCCAGTTTCTGGGCTATAAAACAGGACTTAAAAAGTTAAAAGAATGTAATTCATACAAAGAATGCTTTCAAACTACAATGAAATTGAACTAGACATGAATAACAGAAAGATAGCTAGAAAATTCCAAAATACCTAGAGATTAAAAAACATACTTCTAAGTAACACATGGATCAAAGAAAGATTCCCAAGAGAAAGCTAAAATATTCTGAATTAAATGAAAATACAGTAAATAGCAAAAGTAGTCCTTAGAGAGAAATTATAGTGTAGAATGCAGATGTGAGGAAAAAAAGATAAAGATCCAAAAAACAATAATCTAAACTTTTCTTAGAAAAATAGAAATAGGAGAGGCAATTAAATACAAAGCAAGAGAGGAAAAATAAACAATAAAATTTAGGGCCAAAAGTAATAAAATTTTATAAAGAAAATTAATAGAGAAAATCAACAAAACTAGAAGCTGGTTCTTTGGTAGGATAATAAAATTCACTCCTTGTAGCTTCTTTACCTTTAGTGAGGCTAGCCAAAAAAAAAAAACAAACAAACAAAAAAAAAAGAGGGAGAGAGAAGGCAAAAAGAGCTAATATCTGACATGTAAAAGGGACCATCACCACTGATCCCAAAGACATTAAAATGATAATAAACAATTTTATGAAAACTATGTCGAAAACTTTGACAACTTAGCTGAAATGGACAAATTACTAGAAACACAAGCCACAGAAACACACAAAGAGAAATAGACAATCTGAATGGGAAAATATTGAATAATGAAATTATATCAATAATTAATAACCTTCCAAAACAGAAAGTACCAGCCATATGGTGAATTCTACCAAATTTTTTTTATGGAAGAAATTTTGCTAATTCTCTACAATCTTTTCCAGAAAATAGAAACAGAGAAGAGTTTTATTTTTTTTAATGAACTTCTATCTGTACCAGAGAGAGAATAGTTCTTAACTTGTTCTATAACAACCGCATTATCGAACACAAAAACCAGAGAAAAACATTATAAAAAATTAAAATGATAAACCAACATTTTTAATAAATATAGATGCGCAAACCATCACAAATAAGTTCAAAAACTCAATTTAATAACATATAAAAAGAATTATACTCCACACTGAAGTGGGATTTATTCCAGGTGTGCCAGACTATTTCCACATTTGAAAATCAATTAGCATAATCCATCATTTCACAGACTACAGAAGCAATATCATATTATCACATCAATTGATGAAAGAACAGATTTGACAAAATCCAACACTTATTCATGATTAAAATGCTCAACAAACTAAGAATAGAGAGGAACTTTTCCAATAAAATGAACATCTCCAAAAAACTTACATTACATGTCATGCTTAATGGTGAGAAAGTTGATACCATCTGCCTAAGATTGAGACCAAGGCAGGAATTTCCCCTCTGAACACTCTAATTAAACATCATACTGGTAGTCTTGGCTAATGTAGTAAGGCAATAGAAGGAAATAAAAATTATACAGAGAAAGAAAGAAGAAATTAAACTACCCTTATGCAGAGATGGTATTATGTGATATGATTGTCTATAAGAAAATAACCCTAAATCCATCAAAATACTATTGGAGCATGAAAGGAATTATAACAAGATTGTTGCAGGATACAGGATAATATATAAAAGTCAATTGCTTTCCCATATACTAGCTCTGAAAAATTGGAAATTTGAATTCCATGACAATAACATTTATATCAGCAGACAAAAATTGAATATGTAAGAATTAATCTAACAAGTATGTACAAGATTTATATGAGAAAATGACACAACTCTAGTAAGAGAAATCCAAGATCCAAATAAATGGAGAGATATTCCACAATATGGATAGGAAGTCTCAATATTATTAAGATGTTGATTTTCCCCAACTTGATGTATTGATTCACCACAATCTCTATCAAAATCACAGGAAATTATTTTTTAACATAGAAAAATTGATTCTAAAGTTCATATGGAAAGGCAAAGGACCCAGCATAACCCACACAGTACTGAGCAGCGACCCTGGAGGACACAAACCACATGACCCAGAACTTACTACAAAGCTGCAGTGATCTAGAAAGTGTGATATTCACAAAATAATGGGCAAATAGATCAATGGAACATAATAGAGATCCCTGAAATAGACTCAAACATATACACTCAACTAGTCTTTCATCAAAGACCGAAGGCAATTCAGTGGAGCAAAGAGTTTTTTCTATAAATGTGGCTGGAACAACAATAAAATGAATCCAGACACAGACTTTAAACTTTTCAAATAAAATAACTGAAAAGAGCCACAGGACTAAATGTGAAACAGACAAAAATAATCACACAACTTTGATAAGATAGCAGAGGTGAAAATATAGGCGACCTTGGATCTGGTGATGACTTTTTAGATACAAAGGCATGGTCCATTACAGAAGACAATTGATACAAGCTAGACTGTGGTGCATGTGGGTGGGCGGAATTATATGGAAATTAATTTTACTTCCTGTGTAATTATTCTATAAACCTAAAACTGCTCTAGCAAATAAAGTCTATTTAAGAAGAAACAATACTCATTAACTACTATTTTTTCTTTTTTTTGAGATAGAGTCTCTCTCTGTTGCCAGGCTGGAGTGCAGTGGTGCGATCTCTGCTCACTGCAACCTCCACTTCCCTGGTTCAAGTGATTCTCCTGCCTCAGCCTCCCGAGTAGCTGGGACTACAGGCGTGCGCCACCACACCCAGCTAATTTTTGTTTTTTTAGTAGAGATGGGGTTTCACCATGTTGGTCAGGGTGGTCTCGATCTCCTGACCTTGTGATCTGTGCGCCTCCGCCTCCCAAAGTGCTGGGATTACAAGCATGAGACACTGCCCCTGGCCTCATTAACTACATTTTTTAAATGGGTGCCTTTTATTTTTCTTAAAATTATATGCCAAAAAAGTTGATTAAAAATTGGAAAAACGTGGATAAATGAATATACTTTAATCAGCTCTGTGATTACTTCTCTCAGCAATGTATTGGCATTATTTATTATTGACCTCAGGCTTTTTGATGGAGAGGAGGGCCAGGATATGGAAACCTGAAAATAGTTTTCAGAAAACTAGAGCTGGCCAGGCACCGTGGCTCACACCTGTAATTCCAGCACTTCGGGAGGCCGAAGGGGGCAGATCACTTGAGGTCAGGAGGTGGAGACCAGTCTGGCCAACATGGTGAAACCCCATCTCTACAAAAAAAATGCAAAAATTAGCCAGGCATAGCAGTGGGCATTTGTAATCCCAGCTACTTGGGAGGCTGAGGCAGGAGAATTGCTTGAATCCAGGAAGTGGAGGTTGTAGTGAGCTGAGATCACGCCACCGCACTCCAGCCTGGGTGACAAAGTGAGGAAAAAAAAAAAAAAAAACACCAAAAAATTAGAACAAGGATGTATAGGAGCCATACAGGCTTCATAACTCAAAATAAGCTATAATTAAATGAAACACTTTCAGCTTCAGAAAGAATTCTGAATTTTAAATGAATTGTGATATTTTGAAATAAAATTTCCATGTGGAAATTTAAAAAACTGTAATACTAATATTTTATGAAACAGCTGAATCAGAAGATGCAGTTGAACATTTAGAAAATGGAAGTATATCTGATTTGAGATCGCATCAGGGTAGATCTCTCTCACTGAAAGCACTTACTGCAGCAAGCATGGGTGGTAGAATGGAAGTTTCTGCTTTCTTTCCCTGTGCCACAGTCTTCTACGTGGCTGGTCCTTGAAAGTTCTTCATCTCTAAGACTCAGTTTCTCTTTCATAAAATAAAGGTAATTGTAGTGCCAATCCTTAGGAGATGTGAAAATTAAATAAGACAGTACATATAAAACATTTAGTATATTTTGCAGTAAAAAGTCAATACAATTTGTTAATATTATTAATGGCATATTGTCATGAGTATTTATTTTTAATTATTCCCTCTGCCCCTGCAAAAATTTCATGGAGAGAAAGAAATATAGGAGAAATAACTAGCAAGGCTTTAAGAAATGATGATCTGTGATTGCAACCATTTTGGTATATTAGGTTTATAAAATCACTTTTTTTTTAAGTCAAATGTTCTATTTGAACTTTACCTGCATGATTTTTGAAAACTATGATGTTTTATCAAATTGCAGGCTTTTTTTTTGTATTAAATGGCACTGTAAATACCACAGTCATCTGATGGCATTCACAGGTGATTGGTTTCAGAACCCTCTCAGATACCAAATCCAGGATGATAAGTCCCTTATATCAAAAGGTGTAGTATTTGCATACAACGTACATACACATCCTGCCTTGTACTTTAGACCATTTCTAGATTACTTATACTACCTAATGAAAGCAAATGCTATGTAAACAGTCGTTACACTGTATTGCCTTCTATTTGTATTATTTTAATTTTTTTCCGATTATTTTTGATCCAAGGTTGGTTGAATTTGTAAATTAACTGGTGAAAACAGAGGGCTGACTATATAATATATGCTTCTCTCTTTTTTTTTAGTTTTGTATAATTTCAGACTTTCAGAAAAGTTTTAAGAATAGCACAAAAAATTCCCTAACACTTTCCGCTCAGAATCCCCAAATGTTAACACATTACTACATTTGCTTTCTCTAGTCCCCCTTCTCTCTGCACATATGTACACATTTTCTTTTTCTGAAATGTGTAAGAGGAAGTTGTATATATGACACCTCTTCTTCCCTAAATAATTCACTGTATACTATCTGAAAATAAGGCATTTTCTTACAACATCGAAGTATAATAATCCAACTCAGGAAACCGACACTGAGGTCATACTCCTCCTTCATATACAGACCTGATAGATTTTACCAACTTTCCCTATAATGTTACTTATAGACAAAGTAAATCCAAGCTGATGGGTTTTATTCAGTTCCCACATCTCTTTGGCCTCACTTAATTTAGAAGAGTTGCTGATTCTTCTTATATTTCAATATACAGTAAGTCCTCACTTACAATATACAGTTAGTCCTCACTTGGTTCTTGGAAATTGCAACTTTAAGCAAAATGATGTACAGAAGATCCTCAAATAAAATTCCTTCCTGCAACATCACGTTTTCCTAATATTGATGAGCAAAAATGATTTTAAGTCATTTTGCTTTAAGTCTTAGTTTCCAGGAACCTATCAGTTTCATTAAGTGAGTACTTAATGTATTGATATTTTAGAAGAGTATTAGACACATTCTGTATATTATCCCTCAGTTTGGGATTTGTCTGTTGTTTTCTCATGACTAGATTTGGGTTTTATATTTTTGATAATAATACCACAGAAATGACACAAAGTTTTTCTCAGTGACCATGTTAGGAAGCACACACTGTCAATGAGTTTCATTACTGAAGGGGTCACTTTGATCATTATGTTAAATGATGTGGACTCAGTTTCTCCACTGCCACGTCACTATTTTACTCTTTGTGTTTAAGAGAATTCTGTTCTGAGATACTTTGTGACTATACAAGTCTTGCTGTTTAAACTTTCACACACTCATTTTGACATTCCTTGATGATTTTTGCCTAAATCAGTTGTTATTTTATTATAATATTGTCTTATAATATTATTGTAGTGAATTTTATTAATCACCAACTGATAGCAATCTGTCATCTATTGGCATCTCTGGAAAGGTCATCATTTTCCAATTAAACAGCAGTGGATTAGTACAAGTTTTCACGATGGTCAAAGCCATGTGCTGTTTCATTGACAAGAAAGCTCAGGATATTCCTTGAGAGTCCATCTCACTTGGGTTTAAACTGTGACATTATCATTTTTTAGCCATTTTATCTTATGCCAAATAACCAATTCTCAATTTTTTTCTACTTAAAAGGAATTTAAAAAATCACCATATAGGTTTTTTCTTTTAAGGTTTACATGAGATAATTTAGGTAAGGCACCTGTAGGGCATTATTTACATATAAATATAATAGGTTCTACCTTTTTTATCCTAGATTTTGATTCACGCTGATAGAGAAATTTCACTGTATATGTATATGTATGCATAAGCATATCAACCCCAAGCACACGCTTGATCATTGTATATGTCATGAGAAATTTGTTACTTTCACATTTTATTTCAACTCTAATAACAGGATGTCATTATAAAGAATGAAAAAAAAACTGTGTTTCAATCCAGTTATTCTCTTGCATTCTCCATTTCTCAGTACACATTTCTTTACTTACGTGGCTTCTATGTTTGTCCCCTTCAAATCTCACGTTGAAATGCCATCCCCAGTGTGGGGCCTGGTGGGAGGTGTTTAGGTCATGGGGTCAGATCCCTCATGAATGTCTCGGTGCTGTCCTGGAGGTAATGAGTGAGTTCTCTCTCTCTCTGAGTTCACCAGAGATCTAGTTGTTCAAAGGAGACTGGCACCTCCTCCCTCTCCTGCTGCCACTCTCATCATGTGATATGCCATCTCCCCCTACACCTTTCACCATGATTAAAAGCTTCCTGAGCCTCCCCAGAAGCAGATGCCAGCATCAGGCTTCCTGTACAGTCTGCAGAATCATGAGCCAAAATAAACCTCTTTTCTTTATAAATTACCCAGCCTGAGGTATCTCTATATAGCCACACAAAAATGGACTAATACATCTACTTAATTGAAGTTATGGGTTTTGAATGGAATCCAAAAGGCGACTACTGAAGTAGTTATATCAGTGTTTAGAACTCTTGCTGTTCTTGTCTTTTCTCTTGTTGGTTAAGTTGTTTCAATAATATATTTCCAGAATGAAATATAGTTATAAAGCATTTACCCTCTGGGCTTTATGTTAATTTTGCAGTAAGAAAGATAAATATTTATTAAACAGGAACTGTGCACATGACACCAACGTTGCAATTTGGATGTTCCTCTTTAAGATAGGTTGAACTCCTTCCTAATGTGGATAATCACAAAAACATTTAAATGCACATTGCCACAAAATTTATATAGCAATTAGGTTTCTAAAAACATATATGGTAACAGTATGAAAAATTGGAAAAATTACCATTTTTACAGTAGCAGCCCAATTAAGATATTTGGATTCAATAAGGGATACTAGAATAGCACAATGCACATTTTTGCAGCTCAATATTTATTTCTAAAATGAATTAACAAATGAGATGAACAAATGGATTGCATTGTGGTGAATCATGTTTAATTATAATTAAGCAATAATTTTACATGAACCATAACCAGTAAAATATTTCATGAGAAGCGATGTTGCAAACAGCATGTACTGTGCTGACATTAGCCAACTCACTAGGTACAGCTATGTTAATTTTTTTAGCTTTTAATCTTGATATTTTTATATTAGTCTACCTATTCTTTTAAGACAAGGAGGTCTTTTACTTCTACATTTACAGAAACTAATGTAGAAAGTATAATTTCCTAGTTGTTAAAAAAGATTATTATCGAAACAAACTAATAAGCAGAAATTTTACACAAACATACTAGTTTTAGATATTTAAACTATGATGATTATGTTTTTATATTAAGTTTTCATTATCTTTTAAAGTGAGCTTCTAGTATGAAGACAATGTTAATAGTTTGGGTAAAGCATATCCACGTTTCTACTTTATTTACATATCAACATTTAAAATGAATTTAAAAGTTAATGTTATTACTTCTAGAAAACATATATTACAGTCAAAGTAGGCCTTGTTTTGAGAGTAAGAATGACATGTCAGATGAATTTCTTAATTTTCTCAGTGTAAGCTAAAAATATCTCATTTGTTAGAAAACAAATTTTAAATGTCTAAATTTTGCCTTTACTGTAAGGAAACATTCTTCTCTGTCTGGTCTTTTTGGCTTTCCTGTAACAGCCTGGTGGTTCTGGCCATGAAATAAAGCCATGTGACTTCTGTTAGGATTCATCCACTAAATCATGAGATTGTGGAAAGAGTTCCAGCTCTTGCTCCTGTTTCCAGTGGCGAATCCTGCCTCTAATTGCTCTGACCTTTTCTTGACTGTCAACTATTTAAATCATACACTAAACTTTGTATAAATTTATGTAAGTTTAATGTAGTCACTGCATTGTCTGATATCTTTATAATAAGTTTTAAAATTCTGTGTGGTGTAGAGAAAGTCATTATCGTATTTTGACATGAAACTAATGAAATAACTTAGATTTTTAAAGCATAGTTGATTCACAGAGAAAATGAAGACATCATCAGGCTTTCTACAGCCAATAAAATGCCACAACACATAAACTTATGTGAAGTTTGGACATAATGTTTCATAACGTTTGAGTACATATCATCTCCAATCCCATGCCTCTCATCGTATTTGTTAAGAATTGATACGGTGTGCAGATACCTTTAAATAGACTTCATTTCATTAGCTCTGTAGGAAATATGAATCACCAATGAGAATTTTTCTTGTCAGAGAATCTAAGAAGTTGGTCATAAATATCCTCAACCTCCAGCCCGCATATTGGACCAGTCATGTGACAGGAAGTCTATAAGAAAGAATATTTATCAAACTTCTTTCAAACAGATGCAGAATCTAATTAAAACAGAAAGAGGGTTAGCTATTTTTTACGTTTTCTCGTGAAAAAATTGTTAGAATGCTTTGAACTAAAAAGCATGATAGTTCTGATGAATTATTACACTGATCATTGTATTTTCTTGAAAATGAAACAGTGTCCTTGCGTAGTTTCCAATAAATATCAAAAGACAACTTTTTCTATCATCTGGATATTTCTTTTTCAAAGTAGAATCCTCTACCAGCTGCTTCAAATGGAGTCATCCTTTTCTTCTGTGTCCTTGTTGTTCTAAATGGCCCTTTTTCCCTCTGGCCTCTATTGAAAGTTCCTCTATATCACTAGCATTCCCCAAACCAAATAGTGTTTCTAAAGCATTTCCATTTCAATAAGTGTCTCCATCCACTCACTGACACATTGTTTTAGATTGTATAACCTCAACCTTGGAAGTCAAATGCAAGCATCATCACTCCTCTTAGTTCTGTTTATGAGACTTAGAACAGTATATAGAGGAAAAAATATGTTGGGCTTACAGAACTTATTTTTCACAAAGCTGTGGTACACATATTTGCTGCAGATAGGAGAGCAAAATCCATGCAGACTAGTTCTTGAGTTTCACTCAACATGGAGTTCACATACATGCAAGTAAAAACACGAGTATTACTAAAAAATATCAATTTACACATGCCAGAAAACTGGGAAACACTGTTTAACAAAGGAAGCACAATTATACTCCTTATATCAGGCTCAAAACTATTTACTTCTGATTAGTTTTTGAATGTATACTGTTTCTTGGACTTGAATAAAATAAGCATGCTGTCTTGGTTGCAGTGTTCATAGTATCCTAATATCAGGGAATGAGGACAAATGAAGAAGTTGAGGAAACCATGAACATTTCCACCCATGAATAAAATCACTGATTTGACTGGCCATAGGTCTTTTATTTACGTTTGTTTTTTCACAGTATTTTGATTTTTCATGGTCAGGTTGGCCTCAAAGCCCTCCCACTAATTAAGGCTGATTTGAAGGAATGAACCATTCCCAGTTAACCTGTGGCCCCTTAGTAATTAGCTCAGTACCTAGCAGCCAAGACGTATTCAATAAGTACATGCTGATTCCATGAACAAAACAGAACCTTAATTCTTTTAAAATGACTTTTTCTAAAACAATGGTTAGGGCCTCCATATTACAAGAAAATTTTTATCTTTTTTATTGTAAAGCATATCCTATAACATGTACACGTGATATGTGAACTCTGTTCATTTATTTATAAGCATCAGAGTTTTGAAAAGCCTGCTTTTAGAGTTTCAAAACATCTTCAGCCAGACTTCCTTTGGCACACAACCTTGGTGTCTGCGTTTGGATGCGGTCCTTCAATTTCTCCACACACCCTCAAAACAGCAGAGCCCTCAGCTCATTGCTGCTTCAATCAGCTGCCTGTGTCGCAGAAGCTGAGCCGGCACACACGGTGGACGCTGGCAGATAAAACACGAAATTGCTAAAGGAGCCATGACAGATGGGAGAAATACCTCTAAACCCAAATCATGAGGGTTATCAGAGCATGACACACCAACAGGAACCAAGCACCAAGAATGCAGTAGCTATAAAATCTCAGTCCGCTCATTGCAAGCCAGGTAGACATATATTTCAGTCCATAAGTAAAACTGTTAAATTAATACGAAGCAAAGATGAGACACAGTTAGCAGAATTATCTTGAATTTATTAAACTTATGTTTAAGGAATGGATGAATGAATTCAAAAAGGCATGAGATATCAGAAAAAAAAATTGAGTCCTGTCATATAAGCATTTAATATATACCCAGCATGTAGAATGTAATACTATCTATGCGAAGTGTTATTATGTGATCACTTTTAATCTTTTCTGTAACTAAAAAGTCTGTAACCTTGCATGAAAATGATACAGACAATATTAGAATAACACATATCCTGCTGGCAGGGAGAGACACTTGGAGCTCACAACCACCCCTAAACCATCACTCAAAATCTTATTGTTATCCTAAAGGCAGAGTGGCTTCAATGTCCAATTATCCACATGTAAAATTATCTCATTCCCTCTCCAGTTCAAACTTTGATGTGCCAAAAGAATTCTCCACAGAGTGCAATACTCTAAATGTGGTATATTGATGATGTTGTAGGGGCTATTTATGGTTTTGTAAAGGGTTATTTTTACTCTCAACCATCTTCTACCCATGTGCTGACCTTAAAATGTAACCTTTTTTAAAAGATAGAAAATAATTGTGTTTTTAAAAAGGCCCAATCACGCCATCAACAATGAAAGTCACAAGAATGAAAGTCAACTATTTTTGATTGCTTAATTGACTTTTTATTTCATTTAATTAATTTTGTTAGAAATGTGTCCAACTATAATTTGTACATGATCATAAAATGGGTAATTGATAATACTCTTATAACTTAATTTTGACAAACATACATTGGAGTTGGTAAGCTTATCTCCTATGGAATTGTAGAATTATATCTCTTAATATAATTTTGATACAGTGTTTATACATAGCATATAAAGCATTCTACATAAGTTGCATAGTTTTTAGTTGTTTCATGTGTAAATAAGAGTAAAAATACTTATATCACAGAAAGTTGTGAGACTCAAATAAGAAAAAAATTACAACTAGATGCATATGTTCGAAAACTTTGATATCCCACTCCCTTGCTTTTTTTAGTTGAGGGATGTGTATTGAGAGTCTGTGCAGACTAACTCATTCTAGAATAGCATAACGTGAAAAGACAACAAAAAAGTAGCTTTTCTAATAACAACTACTATCAATAGAATGCTTACATTTTTAACCAGTCACTGTTCCAAATGTTTTACATTAAATTGCCTTTTTAACCCTCAAAGTATCTCCATGAAATCGGTGTTAATCCTGTCCTCATTTCACAGCGCAGGCAAAGGAGGTGCCAAGAAGAGAAAAGGTGAGCCCACAGTTACAGAGCTGGTGAGCTGCAGAAGGTGGATTCCCACCTAGGATCATGGATGCAGAGCCCACGCTCCTCGCTGCGATGTTATGCTGCCTTCGTGTCCAAGATAAGTAAAATAATCTCTGTTTCAAAATGTTGAAAAGAGTTACAAGTCTCAGAATCAATGTTCCCTTCCCCATAGTCCACCATTCCATCATGATCCCTTTTGTAGTAAACCGTGTAGCATGACTCACAGTTACAATCATGCCATAGATTCAGCAAGATCAAAGCATTGCAGGAATTCTGAAGCTCCGCAGAAATGTAATCCCTTCCGAGAGAGATGGCCGTAGCTGGACCAGACATTCAAGCAATCCTGCTGTGAAAAAATGACAAATGATTACTTTGGACATGGGGGGAAATACCTTTAGCTCAGTCTAGGCTTCCCAAGTATAGACAGAGTATAGATTAAACCTCCAAGTCTATCCCACACTCTATACAAGGGAAAGGCTTATACCTTCGGCTTTTCCACTTAGACAAGATGAAGAGCTAAGTTAATACAGCTGGAAGTTAAGCCATTTGTTCCAGATGGTGCAGATATTTCAAACTCGGTGTTCCTAAGGCGATGGTAACACACGGAATTTTATTCTGGTAGAAGCAATAATGTGTGTGAGAGTGTGATGTTTACTCGTCTGGTATATGAACAAAAAGCACATCTATTTAAGTAAATATCTGTGTTCACAAAGCAGAATACAGAAATGGGGTAATTACCTGCATAGTCAAGCTTAAAAAATATGCCTTTGACTCAAAAATCTGATGATTTTGAGCTCATTTTTTGCTTTAATAATCTGTTTAATTGCTTTACTTATGGATTTCACTTCTATGTAGAAAAAGCCTTAAGAAACAATTTGCTTGCAGGCACATCTTGGAGATATTGCAGGTTCGTTTCTAGGTCATTATAATAAATATTGCAAAGAAGTTAGTAACACAATTTTTTTGATTTTACGAGTACATACAAAACTTATTTTTTTACACTATACTGTGGCCTAAGTTTGCAATCGCATTATGGCCAAAAAAAAAAAAAAAAAAAAAAAAAAAAAAAAAAAAAAAAAAAAGTGCATACCTTAACTTAAAAATACTTTATTGCTGAAAAATGTTAACAAATATCTGAACCTTCAGTGAGTCATAATTTTTTGCTGATGAAGGGTCTTGCCTCAATGCTGATGGCTGCTGAAGGTTGGAGTAGCTGTGACAATTTCTTAAATAAGACAACAATGAAGTTTGCTGGCTCAATGGACACTTCCTGTCATGAAAGATTTCTCTGTAGCAGAAGATGCTGCTTGATAGCATTTACCCACGGTAGAGCCTCTTTCAAAATTGGAGTGAAGCCTCTCCAGTCCTGGGGCTGCATTATCAATTAAGTTTATAGAATATTCAAAATCCTTTGCTGTCATTTCAACAATGTGCACGGCATCTTTACCAGGAGAAGTTTTCATCTCAAGTGAGTTTCTTTACTCAGCCATAAAAAGCCGCTCCTCATCCATTCAAGTTTTCTCCTGAGAGAGCAGCAATCCAGTTACATCCTCAGCCTCCACTTGTGATTCCAATCCTCTTGCTATTTCCACCACATCTGCAGTTACTTCTTCCACTGGAGTCTTGAACCCTTCAAAGTCACCCATGAGGGTTGTAATCAACTTCTTTCAAATGTCCGTTAATGTTGATATATTGATCTTCCCCCACCAATCAGAATTTTCTCAATTTCTCATGCAGAATGGTAAATCCTTTCCAGGTTTTCAATTTACTTCGCTTGGACCCATCAGAGGAATCACTGTCTATAGCAGCTATTGCCTTATAAAAATATATTTCTTAAATAATTAAACTTAAAAGTTGAAATTACTCCTAGATCCTTGATCAATGAGCTAAAGAATGGATATTGCATTAGCCGACATGAAGACAGTGTTAAGCTCTTGGCTGACCAAGTGAGTTTTCAGTGAGCAGTAATACTTTTAAAATAATCTTTTTCTTTTTTTTTTCTTGAGTAGTAGGCTTCAACAATGGATTTAAAACATTCTGTAAGCCATGCTGTACACAGAGGCACTGTCATCCAGGGGTGTTGCTCTATTTACAGCACACAGGCAGAGTAGATTTAGCATAACTCTTCAGGGCCTTAGGGTTTTTGGAACACTCAATGGGCATTGGAGTCAACTGAAAGTCACCAGCCGCATTAGCCCTACCAGAAGATTTTGATTCTAGATTTTGGTTTAAAGTGAGAGATATGCAACTCTTCCTTTCACTCAGACACTTAGAAGCCATTTTGGGGTTCCTAATTTGCCTAGTTGCAATACTGTTGTGTCTCAGAAAATAGGGAGGCGTGAGGAGAAGGAGAAAGACCAGGGAACTGCCCATCGGTAGAGAAGTCAGAACACACAACACTTTGATGAAGATCACTGTCTTCTGTGGGTGTCGTTTGTGGTGCCTCCAAAACAATTACAATAGTGACATCAAAGATCACTCATCATAGATCAGAGATATATAATAATATTATTGCATTATTAAAAGTATAATAATAAAAACGTTTAAAAAATTGTAAGTTACCAAAATGTGACACAGATACACGAAGTGAGCACCTGCTGTTGGAAAAATGGTTGCAAGAGACTTGTTCCACAACACAAAACTTCAGTTTGTAAAGAACTCCCATAATCTGCAAGATGTGATAAAGCGAAAACAGTAAAACGGGTTGTGCCTGTACTTGGTATGTGTGTGTATGTTGAATTATAGATGTGGCCCTATACCATGTATTGTGTGTAGCCTGAGAACCAGGGCGAGAATCTCAAGGAAGGCAGTGAGCTCTGGCCATCAGGGCTGTGGGTCCTGGGAACATGACCGCACACCTGCAGAAGGCTGCCATGCCACCCCATATGGCTTTGTGACAGCCGCCACTGGACCCGATATAATTTCTTCTTGTGATCAGGAGCATATGGCTGTCACCACTGTTGAAAACTCACAGGCATCCTGTGCATGCCCACAATCCTCTCTGGCCTCCTCCCAGGCCCTGTGCCCTGCTGAGCAGTTTTACCTCCATGTAGGACTCTTGAGTTGCTGCCCCCTTCACCTCTCTCAGAGGCAGGACAGGGCCTGGATGGGGCCACCCACCCTCCTGCATACCCCCAGGCTCTCAGTGTGTGTAGTCTCTGCACTCTGAGCCCAGAAGCCACCATGTGAGTGTAAGCCCACTCCTCCAGTGAAGGAGCTGACTGCAAGAGCACAGTGCTGACCCCTAAAAGTGTCTCCTCATGGGAGAAGCATGCGATGATGTTCACAGCTCTGACTCCTGCCTTCCTCATTGGCCAACAATTGTAAACTTGACAAATAACTGTGGCCCTCTTAGGTCAGATGTTTTATAAATTGTATGCTAAAATGAATATGAAAACAACACCTGATTTACAACATGACTTTGATCATTTATCCAAGTAAAATAATACTTAGGGAGTAACTTACAAACTCTAGCCAGAGCATGTGTTGACACAGAGATGCAGACTTTAGTGCAGGGTCATATTCCTATACAGAGCACAGGGACGACAATCCTACAGCTGGGGAAAAAGCAGTTTCAAAGAAGGAATGAAATAAGAAGGGTGTCTCCTATGTTGAAATCAAGGGAGTGAATGTTGATTTTAATGCCTGGTTTGTAAACGCTTGGGAAAGGGATTACTACAGGCCAGTTTTGATTCATACTATGTCATGCCTGAAAAAAAAAACTCATTTTTTTAATTACCTGAGACTTTATAGATCTGAGGAATGAGTAGATATCATGCACCTCTATTTCTGCTAGGAAAGAAAGAGATGTATTTATTCATTTATCCATTAATAATTGTATTCGGTTTATGAATAAAAAATGTTTTTTGAGTGTCGCTTGAGTGCCAGGCACCATTCTAGGCCTGTAGATGCAGGGAGGGAAGAAAACAAGGCCCTAGCTCATAAGAGGATATGACTATAGACAAAATAATCAAACAATGTATATAAGTCAAATGGTGACGAGCACTCCTCAGGCCTGCTTTGTTTGTGTCATTTTCTGATGGCTGCGTGACTCTGCCGCCAGCCTGTGGGGGCCTCCTTCACGCCTTCTTCACAGGCTGCTAGTCTAGTCCACTCTTCATGCATTTTGTCTTTAGTTCAATGGAGAATTTTACTTTTTTGGTGAAGTAACAAGAAAGGAAATATTCTCCATAATAAATGAAAACTGTTATTCAACAAGAGGTGATGCAGAAGTGTAAATGGAAAGCCAGCCATTAGATCACAAGCAGAGCAGCTCAAGCCAAGCTTGGTCAGGAGGCCGGGAGCTGGAGGGAATTGGGCTTAATGTGGTTTAACGTTGCAAGTAAGGTCCTGAGTCTGGTTACCTGCCCCTGCCGGGCACTGCCATCCACTCAATGGGTGTACAAGCATGTCTGGAGTCCTTAATTTCTGAAGACTGCACTTTAAGGGACTAGAAGCAGACTGGTGGCTCCTATGCAGAGTGACTCAGTGAACCGAGTGAACACTGTCAAGGTAACCGGAGCCCTTTGTGCCCGCTGCAGAGGAACTTCGGTTTCATCAGGAGGACATGAAGAGGCGCAAAAGCTTTTGGACATCTCACAGGGAGATGGTCCCTATGTCCTCTCTTACAGATGCACATGGACAGCCTCACCCTCCCTCTGGGGCAGCTATTATGCATTCAGTAATGCCCTTTCAGTCCTTAGCCATACTCAAATATGACAGTGAGTTTCCAACCCTTTTTTCATTCCCCTTGTTAAGTGTCAGAATTGCATTTGACTTTATGTAACAGAGAAGTCCCAGATAGCAATAATTTTGAAAGAAAGCAGTTGGTTTCTCCCTCACAAGAGAAGAAAGCCCATCAGCTAGCAATCTAGATGTCTTACAGGCACTCCATGAAGGCTTAAGGCCTTTCTGCTTTCTGCTTGTCATCCCTGTTCTGTGTGGCTCCCATATTCATGGTCCAGTATGGCTGCTGACATCCAGTCATCAAGATAGAATTCCAGGCAGTAGGTGGAGAAAGAGGGAGGATCCCTTCCCTGCATAGAATATTCCTGGACTTTTTAACTCCATACTTGACCTGGTTTTGACTCCTGCAAGTCCTCCTTCCTCTGACCCTCCCTGATGGAATATCTAGGAGAACACTTCCAACCTGGTCCTTATGCCATCTGAGCCAGCACTGCCAAGAATATTCTCAAACAAAAATGGGTTTCTCTCAATATAAAGAGGATCTGTTTTTAAAAATATCCATTGGTTAGGAAGTGGAGGAAAGCTTCATCTACTGATGGAGGTAAATTTGCTGCTTCTGGTGGCATTTTAGCAACATCTGTAAGAAGACTTCAGTGAGGAGAAGCAGACATCAGTACCTCCCAAGTCCATCTGATCCTTAGTTCTTGTTTCTTTCATGTCAGCAGTAGGCACATTGGTGCCATGGTTTTCAGATGCTAGAACAGTGGTTTGGAGATTGATAGTATTCTTGCAGATAGGAAGGGCAAAAGCTCACGCTGGAATGCCTGGACTGGAAAATTCACATGAAGCTTTTTGCAAAACTTTTTAGATACATGAACTTTTAGAAAAACATATGTCATTTTTCTGATTGCAAATGTAGACTGATTGTGCATATATACCCATAAATTTTGCTAATGGTGTGGGGATCATTTCAGTCCAGTCCTATAGTTTGCTGGATTATAATTCAATGTCTGCTTTGTGTTTGTTGGGACATTTTTATTGGCTGCGCAAATTTCGACAAGTCACCTAGTAGCTATGACTGTGATTGCAGTTTACTTGAGAATAGACTGGGGATGATGACCCCGGCATCCCGCAGAAACACCTTAAGGATTTAACGTTTTACCTGCATCTACATTAAAACGCACAGTATCTCTCAGATATGTATGTGTATGATCGCCAGATGGGAGCTATCCGTATCTTTCTGAAACAGTCACTGGCGCTGTTGCTGTGTGAGTACAATTGCCTTCATACTCATTACTGTCTGCTCATTGCTGATCACTGTAAAACTGAAAGAATGTCTCCAAACATTCTGCTTTGAAATATAACTCAATTTATTTCAAAATGTTATTTTCACTCCAAAATAATGTCCTTTGTTTTATTAACTTCATTTTTTTCCCAGCACATAAACTCATTTGCTTTTCATATTTTATATTCACAAGCATTTCTTTGTATTATCCATTAATTAGCAGAGCACTACATATGTTTTAGAAGGATGCTATTTATGGACAAAATAGTAAGGTTACTGTTTTTTTTCCCCTTTCTAAATAAAAAATATATATATTCTTTAAATCTTTCTGTTTGCAGCCAACTCCTGAGGACATCTGTAAGATTTCTGCTTACTGTTGAAGATAAATTTTTCAGTTAGTATGTCTTCTTTGTAATTCAATTACTTCCTGTTTCAATGCCAACTTTGTTAGATTATGATCAGTTTTTATGTATACAATGCCAATTGCCAGCTATTGAGATCCTAGACATGGTATAAATATTTAACATTAATAATAATACATTTTTCCTTGTCCTGTGAAGTATGATAAACATCTTTACTATTTTTATCATGCAGGTAGAAATTTACTTTAAAAATTATAGTCACTTATTTCATTTGACCCACTTTTTAAGAAGCCATTGATATCCTCAGGGCATTTTTTTTTTCATTCCACTTCCCTCAAAAGGCATTGTGTCTATTAAGGAGAACTACTTCTCAGTATCTAACTGAATCTCACTTCCACAAAGTTCCTCTTATTTAGCAAAACATCAAGTCTTTTCTGTGTAATTTACATTCGGCAATGATGTTTACACCACATTTTTTGTTTATACAGAGCTACAATGCTATAAAATAGAGACCTAGGAGAGTCAATTTATTGCAAAAACATAAGTTAAAAAAATAAAAAAAACTATTAATCAGTCCATCCCCACAAATCGATGATGAAAGAGGAGCCTCTGTTCCTTTTCACAACTGCAGAGAGCTCCGGAATTGGACTCCAAGGTAATTGCTTGACTCCCAGAGAGTCCTTCCCCTTCACACTGATGCTTTATAGATGACTATTGAACTGTTCCTGGAACACGACAAATCTAAATTAACCTGAAATACAACAGGGATTTCAGGAGTTAGATCACGAGTCCAGAGAAGAATTTGAAAATATCTCTATTTCAGGAAGCCTTATCTTAATTATTTTTCTTATCAATGTAAGCATAACATTTTCAAACGGTGCATGATAAGCCTAAGACTTAAATACATATCAGCCTGCTGCCATATCCCTCTAGCTCCCACCACAAAATTCTAGACACACACCTCAACCTCCCACCCTTGGGACAGAGAGATTTCTTTAACTGGCGTTTTTTGTTTCTATGAATGCTATTTATTGATTCTATCACCATACGTTTGCCATAAAATGACCAGGGTTGTTCTTTTACAATGAAATACTTCTTTCTGTAAAGCAGTATTTCATTGTAAAAGAACTGGCTAAAACAATGGGTTGGAAAAAGAAAACATAATTCAATTTACTGTTTGGCTCATTGATAAAACACAAAACATGCAAATAATGACTATCAAAACAAAATGAAACAAAACAAACAAAGGAAAAAATAACAGCAAACACGGGTTTATTATCTTCCTTGGAGAAGGCAATGCTGTGGAAAATAATGAATTGAATAAATGCAGGAAGACACCCCATCATATAAGGATAAGAAGAAAATGCTAAACAAGTTGATTCACTGAACTGACTGGTTAGATGAATAAGCTAATTATTGTCACTATGTTTAGACTGACCCAAACGTATTGTTACAAATTCCTAACATTCTGTTCTGTCTAAAAAGAGTGAATAAATTTTCTCTTTCCCATGGTTAGTGTATTGGGTGCCAGGTAAAATATTAAACTAAAAATTCTCTTTAATCCCCGACCTTGACACTATGTAATTCAAATGAAATGACCTCTTACCAGGTCTATCTTTTCAATTTAAAATAAAGGAATGAGACTCATTCTGTCTCATGTCTTTTAGCCAAATAGAACATACGTAGGGATGGGAGAGCTCACTGACATATTCAGGAGAAATGGGAAAAATGAGTGTCAAACCCCATATTGAATAGGAATTATGCACAATGAATCTCTGATGACCTGTTGCTTATGAGGTTAGTCTTATTACACAAGTGCGGAATTAATACATTTTAGAAATGCAATTTAATTTTTAACTCATGGTTAATAGAAGTAAAAACATGTACTTAAAAAGATTTCAGCAATATCATAAGATTGATTTTAATTTGGATGCTTATGGTTTCCTCTTCCAAATGAGCATTGAACTGGCATTACATATTAAAATTAATTAATTAAAAAGGCTAACAACACCTTAAACAAATTAATAACTCCTAAAATGTCTCTCTACACATAAACATGGAGACACACAGTTGTGGCACGGACTGTCAATTAAATAATGCACAGGCAATTGCTGTTGAGTAACAGAAGATTTTTAAATCAGATTAAATAAAACATGAATTACTATTAGAATTACAATTAATTAAACATATAAAAATGATACCTGATCTACAAGCTCATTCAATTCTTACAACACTTCCTTAGAGAAGAAGCCAGCTTTGAGGGTACTTATATGCCGTTTTTTTAAAAAATAAAATTATCTGAAACACATTTAGACTCACAGGGCTGTTGCAAAGAGAGTACAGAGAACTCCACTAAGCAAACTCAGATTGCCACTGGTGCAATGTCAGAAATTAAATTGCTGGTTTTATTTGTATTTATTTCACTGATATTTCTGCCAATGTCCATTTTCTGTTCCCGGTCTGGTCCCAGAGCCCACATTACATTTAGATAATATGTCTTTTCAGTCTCCTCCGATTCCACCAGTGTCTCTGCTGTGGCCTGAACACTGGGGACTGTTGTGGGGTGGGGGGAGTGGGGAGGGATAGCATTGGGAGATATACCTAATGCTAGATGACGAGTTAGTGGGTGAAGTGCACCAACATGGCACATGTATACATATGTAACTAACCTGCACATTGTGCACATGTACCCTAAAACTTGAAGTATAATAATAATTTAAAAAAAAAAAAAGAAAGAGCACAGCCAGAGCTGCTGCCAAGCAGCACCCACTTAGAGACTGTGTGGTGCGTTCGGCTCTTCAGAACTCCAGTAAGGTCAAGAGCTCTTCTGGGCACACCGATCAGGGCTCAGGACATCAAGGTATCCCGTGATGCTTGGTGTCAACCTTGATTCCTGGTTAAGGTGGGTCTGGCTGGCCTCCTTACTATACAGGTACTGTTGTCTGTTAGTGGACAACAAAATTGTATAGGAGACATTTTAAGGTCCTTTGAATACCCTGTTGCTCCTTATACTTTCACCTGCCGGCTTTCTCATTTTAACATTTATTTAATCCTGCCCACAGCAGGTATTTCTGTGTTGTTTCAACGGTAATTTTCTATTTCCCTTACCCTTTATTTACGGAAATTCATTTGTTAGGGAGGTTTGTCTCTCATCCTCTTTTATTGTAATTTTTATTTATTTAGAGACAGAGTCTCACTCTGTCACCCAGGCTGGAATAGAGTGTTGCAATCACAGCTCACTGCACGCAGCCTTGATCTCCTGGGCTCAAGTGATGGTCCCATGTCAGTATCCCGAGTATCTGGTACCACAGGCACGTGCCACCTTGCCCAGCTAATTTTCGTATTTTTTGTAGAGATGGGGCCTCACTGTGTTGCCCAGGCCGGTCTCAAACTCCTGGGCTCAAGAGATCCGCCTGCCTCGGCCTCCCAACGTGCTGGGATTTACAGGCGTGAGCCACCGGGCCCAGCCCTGCTTATTTATATCAATATGCACCCATGGGTATTGATTTTCCGGCTGCTCGGATTGTTCCAGCGTTGACCGTCATTGCTCTTTCAGGTGTTTCCTGAGCCTTTTTGCATGCCTCCGGCTTATTCTTTCTTTTCTTTTTACTCTCTCACCCTAATTAAGCTCCACAAGATGTTACATGCTTATATAGTATTGTTCTTCCCCAGCTTTAGAATCTTCTCTAAGGGGCCTTGGTTTCTTGTATAGGAAAATGCTCTTTAGAAACTAGATCTGTGACCTCACATCGTGTGTTCATTGCTATGGAAATGTCGCAATTTCTAAAGTTCTCTCAGCGGACAAAACAGAAAACATATATATGTATATTAACCCATGTATACACACATATATATTCATTTCTGTGTTTATTCCTATGAATTTATATATATGTATATATATTTTTCTTTGACTTCATGCTGATATCTTCCATCCCAGTGCAACACGACAAAGTTTATTCTAACCATTTCCCTTTGCTTACTTGAAACTTCCTTCTCCAGTAGTGAGAGAGCTCACTCTCATTGGCTTCTATATATTTAATTATTTTTTAACCTTAAAACATATCAAACACAACTTCTGAATTTCTTTTATGGTTTTTTATCTAAGAAATGTCATATGGTCCAGCATCACTTATTAAATATTTTATCATTTTGTTTTTTATCTAAGAAAAGTCACATGGTCCAGCATCATTTATTAAAAGTAATATCTTTTCCCATTGCCTTACCTTGACACTTTCGTAAGACAGCAATTGAAGGTCCATATGTGTGTCTAGTTCTCAATTCTATTTTTCCCTTTGATCCTTATTTTTATCTTTACACCGATACCTTCCGTTGATGAGCTCTACAACTTTATTGTTCTAAAAATAAAACCGTGATAAGTCAATGTTTCTTCTTTTTTAAATAACAGCTTTATTGGATTACAATTTACGTACCATAAACTTATCTTGATTTAAATAATAATGCAATGATTTTGGTCTATTTACTGACCTGTGCCAACAATATATTGTGAGAACATTTCCATCATTTCAAAAAGAAACCTCATGCCCACTGGCAGTCAATCCCTATTCTCACCCCCAGCCCCAGGTAACCACTCATCTACCTCCTTCTTTGTAGACTCTGCTACTCTGGACATTTCACATAAAAGAAACAATACAACATATCCAGGATTGCATCTGGCTTCTTCCATTTAGCATAGTGTTTTAGCGACTCGTTTGCATGGTAATGTATTCCTGTACTTTGCTACTCTTTATTATTGAACGACATTCCATTGTATGGTATACCATATTTTGTATCCATTCACCATTTGATAGACATTTGCATTTTTCCCACTTTTGGGCTCTTATGAATATACTGTTCTGAACATTTGGCTACAAACGTTCATGTGGACATATGTATTCATATCTTTTGGGTAGATGCCTAGACTTGGAATTGCTGGATCATATGGTAACTCCATTTTTAACTATTTGAGAAACTGTTGCACTGTTTTCTAAAGCAGCTCTATCATTTTACATCTTCATCAACAAAATATGAAGACTTCAGTTTCTATCTATTATTGTCAACACTTATTATTATCAGTTTTTTTGATTACAGCGTTCTTGTTTTTCAATTTGCATTTCGTAATGATCAATGTTGTCTCTTTTTTCTTTCTTTTTTAACAGTCATTCATATGAATTCTTGTTGAAATGTCTTTTTAAGTCTTTCAACTATTATTTTAAATTGATATTTTTGTCTTATTATTATTGAGGTGTAAAAGTTCTTTTTATATTCAAGTTCTGTATCAGGTGTATTGTTTGCAAATGTTTTCACCGAAATTACAATTTTGTTTTTCATTTTATTAAATCTGTCTCTTGAAGCACAAAAATATTAATAATGATAGAATCTACTTTATATTTTTTCTTTTATGGGTCATGCATTCATTGTCATATTTAATAACTCTTGGACTCCAGATAAGTTGCAAAGATTTTTCTCCCATGTTTTCTTCTAAAAGTTTTAAAATTTTACCTGTCCCATTTAGGTCTACGGTGATATTTTAGTTAATTTTTGTGTAACGCTCAAGGATCTAAAGTCAATGTTTACAGATGTCTAATATTTCAGAAGCACTTTTTAAAACATTGTGCCTTATGAATTGAATTGCCTTGAAACTTTGTCAAATATCAACACTAAAACTGTCACTGAACTCCCAAGTCTTCTTCATGGATTTGCATGTGTATCCTTGTGCCAGTAGCACATGGTCTTGGTCTTGATTACTGTAGGGTTAGAGTAACTTTTGAAATTAGAAAGTGTGAGTTCTCTAATTCACAGAGTACTTATACTTTCTAATTCTGCATTTCAAAATTGTTTTTCATATTCTGTGTGCTTTCCATATCCATGTAAATTTTAGGACTGGGCCTGGTGTGGTGGCTCATGACTGTAATCCCAGCAATTTGGGATGCTGAGGCAGGGGGATGCATAAGTCCAGGTGTCTGAGCCCAGCCTGGGCAACATAGTGGGACTCTGTCTCTACAAAAAAGCATTTTAAAAAAATTAGCTGCATGTGGTGGCATGTGCCAGTATCCCTAGCTACTCAGGAGGCTGAGGCAGGAGGATCAATTGAGCCCAGGAGGTTGAGGCAGCAGTGAGCCGTGATCACACCACTGCAGTCCAGCCTGGGTGATAGAGTGAGACCCTGTCTCAAAAAAAAAAAAAATAAATGAATAAATAAATAACTTTTAGGACCAGCTTGTTAATTTTTGCAAAATAAGCCATTGAAATTTTGATAGGAATTGAATTAAATCTAGAGATCAGTTTGGACAGAAGTGTTGTCTTAATGGTGTTGAGTCTTCCAATCCATAAGCATGAAATATCTCTCCATTTATACAAATCCTCTTTAACTTATCTCAACAGCGTTTTATAGAATTCAATGTATAAGTCTAGCACTTTTTAATTAAACTTATTAGTTAGTATATTATTATTTTTGATGCCATTGCGAATGGATTTATTTTCTTAATTTCAGTTTTGGAATTTCCCTTGAGATTATACAGAAAACAAAAGCTGTCTATAGAGATAGATTTAGACATATAGATATCTCATGTATACAAACCTGCTGAACATTTTTATTTGATTTAGTAATTTTGTAGTGTAGTCTCTAGGATTTTCTACAGATAAGATCATGTTATTCATATATAGAAATAGAGTTTTACTTCTTTCATTCTAATCTAAATTCCTTGAGTTTTATTTCTTTGTCTCATAGTAATTGCTAGGACCTCTAGCAGTAGTATGTTGAATAGAAATGGCAAGAACAAATATCATTCACTGCCTTTTTCCTGATCTTAAAACATGCATTCAGTCTTTCACCATTAAGTATAATATTAGTATTACATTTACTAGACATGATCATTATCAGTTTAGAATTCTCTTTTCTAACTTGCTGAAGATTTAAAAAAAATAATGAGTAAATTTGGAACTTTGTGAAGTGCTTTTTGTATGTTTATAGATTTGGTCATTTGTCTTTCATCTTGTACTTTATTAATGTGGTGTACTGGAATAACTTGATTTTTGTAGGTTAAAATGATCTTGCATTCTTGGTACATCTAACATGCTTATGCTGTATAATATAGTTTGGCGCTGTGTCCCCACCAAAATCTCATCTGGAATAGTAAGTCCCGTAATCCCCACTCATTGAGGAAGGAACTGGCTGGGAGGTGATTGGATCATGAGGATGGTTTCCCCCACGCCATTCTCATGATAGTGAGTGAGTTCTCACGAGATCTGATGGTTATGTAAGGCAGTTTTCCCTGCTCTTGCTTGTTCTCTCTCACCTGACACCATGTAAGACGTGCCTCTTCCCCTTTCCCCATGATTGTAAGTTTCCTGAGGCCTCCCAGCCAAGTGGAACTGTGAGTCAATTAAACCTCTTTTCTTTTTAAATTACCCAGTCTCAGGTATGTCTTTATAGCAGTGTGAGATCAGACTAATATACTGTAAAATCCCGTTCTCATATGTTGCTAGATTCAGTTTACTAATATCTTTTGGGAATTTTTTTACTAATATCTTTTGGGAATCTCATAACATATCTATGTTCATGAGATATGTTTGTCTCTAGTCAGCTTTCCTTCAGATGTCTTTGGTATAGTGTAGCACTGCATTATGGAATGAGTTAGGAATTATTCTCTGTTACTGTATTTTGTGGAGGAGTTGTGAAGTCCTTAAATTCTGGCTAAAATTCATCAGTGAGACCATCTAAGCATTGGCTTTACTTTGTGGGAAAATTTTAAATTACTAATTCAAATTATTTACTTGTTATAGGTCTATTAGGATTTTCTATTTATTTTTGAGTGACTTTTGATAAATTATATTTCTAAAATGTGTCTATTTAAACTAAGTTGTCTAATTTGTTGAAATAAAGTTGTTAACATTATTTCCTTATGATCTTTTTAAATTTCTGAACAGTCAATAGTTATCCCCTCTCATTCATTACTGATTGTGATAATTTGAATTTTTTGTATTTTTTTCTTTGTTATTCTAGCTAAAGATTTGTCAATTTAATTAATGTTTTGAAATAAGCGTCATCTGATTTCATCAATTTTCTTTATTGTTCTGTTTTCAACTTCATTGATTCTTTAACCTTTAATATTTCCTTCTTTCTTGCTCTGAGTATAATTTTATCTTCTTTTTTTTTAAATTGGATGTTTAAGTTATTGATTTGAGGTCTTCTTTTCTAATGTAATCATTTGAAAAAATGAAATTCTCTCTAAGTGAAGCCTTAGTTTCATCTCATCAATTTGATATTTTGCCTTTCCATTGGTAATAATTTAAAAATATTTTCTAGTTTTTCTTGCATTTTTTCTTTGACTTATGAGTTATTTAAAAGTGTCTTGTTCTATCAGAAGACATTTATGCAGCCAACAAACACATGAAAAAAAAAACCTCAACGTCAGAGATCATTAGAGAAATGCAAATCAAAACCACAATGAGATACCAGCTCGTGCCAGTCAGAATGGTGATTATTAAAAAATCAAGAAACTATAGATGCTGAGAGGCTGTGGAGAAACAGGAATGCTTTTACACTGTTGGTGGGAATGTAAATTAGTTCAACCATTATGGAAGACAGTATTTCTCAAGGATCTAGATTCCTCAAGGATCTAGAACCAGAAATATCATTTGACTCAGCAATCCCATTACTAGGTATATACCCAAAGGAGTATAAATCATTCTACCATAAAGACAAATGCACACGTGTGTTTATTGTAGCACTATTTACAATAGCAAAGATGGAACCAACCCAAATGCCCATCAATGATAGACTGGATAAAGAAAATGTGGTAATATACAACATGGAATACAACACAACCATAAAAAGGAATGAGATCATGTCCTTTGCAGGAACATGGATGAAGCTGGAAGCCATCATCCTCAGCAAACTAACACAGGACCAGAAAACCAAACACCGCATGTTCTTACTCATAAGTGGGAGTTGAACAATGAGAACACATGAACACAGGGAGGAGACAACGCACACCAGAGCCTGTTGGGAGGTGGGGATTAAGGGGAGGAAACTTAGAGGATGGGTCAGTAGGCGCAGCAGACCACCATGGCATACACCTAAGAAACAAATCTGCAAGTTCTACACATGTATCCTGAAACTTAAAGTAAAACAAATTTAAAAAAAAAGAAAAAAAAGTCTTGTTAGTTTCTAAATATTTGTTAATTCCTTAACTTTTTCTCTCTTATTTATTTAATTTACAATTTAAATTTGTTATTTTTAGGAAATACACTTTGGATGCTTTCAATCATTTTTAATTTACTGAGATTTTTATATATGGCTTAGCATATGATATATTGTATCATATGTATTATTTACTGATTATTCTAATGGTAGCCTGCACTCATGATTCTGTGATAATTCCTTGTCACAAACTTGTTTTACATTTTTTACATTTAAAATTTTTTTTATTTTTGTATTTTTTCTATTTTTTTCAGAATGAAAAGCACTTGAAGAAGAAAAAAAGAAACCTGAATAACAGATGCGTTTGCATTATTTCAAAGACCCATCTGGCATGAAAGGTCTTGGCAAAAGGCAGCCTCTGTATGTTGACTTCATTCTTCTCTTTTTGCAACTGGCTTCTGTTACTGGTCCACACGGCAGAAGTCAAGGCCACCCAGAGCTTCAAACATGGTGAGGATCCAGCCTATGATAAAGAAATTGAATCCATCTTTTAGTCACAGTTCTAAAGCCTTGGGGATACTCTGGAATTAGGTCCTCTAAAGAGAAGAATCCTCTGTTTCAGTTCATAAAGAACCGTCATAGGTGCTGTGAGTCACCCATGTGATCATGTGGATTTGCAGAAGGGTCAGTAGAAGGACTGGGGAATGGGAGTGGGAAAGTCCTCCAATTTGTGAATCGCAAACTTCACAACTTTAATAGTAATGGAAACATGTCTGTTTAATGAAAATCATTATTTATTATCAAATCCAAATGTTAATGTGCATTAAAAGATTGTTCTTAAAACAGAATACTTCCAATTTCACATTTAATCAAAGCCAACATGAATTTTAATGTTTATTAAGGGACACATACAGCATTGCCTCTGAAATCTGTAAGAAACTATTAGATTCAGTGACCCAGAAACACACACACACACACACACACACACACACATGCATATATACCCATACACACATCAAAACACCCTAAGAAATGCCTTCCTGTGTGTACATAAATATATACATAAATATATGTAAAAGTAACTATACATATATGTGTGTGTATATATAGTTATATATGCATAGCTATATTTATGTAACTTTTATATATATAAACACACACACACACACACACACACACACATTCTTATATATATGAATGTGGGATGGGGGGAAAGTTCATCAGGTAGTGGCAAACAATAACATAGCCAGAATTGGTCTGGATTTGGCAAGCAGGTCTAGAGGTCTGCGTTTTCTAAAGTCTCAGCATGCTCCTCATAACACTTCCTGTAATTCATTTCAGCATTCAGCAGCAGCCCCCCATGAAGTAAGTCTGGCATTATATCTTAAAGAGCTTTATGAAAGGATGCCTTGCTCAATTGTGAGCAATCTTTTTGAAGTGCACACCATGCTTTCAACAAGAAAATACATTTGGAGTGTTTATAGAAACAGCTCTTATCCACTGTGTTAGAAAGTGGATTCTTGCTAGACCTTTGCCATAAAGCAAAATGGGCCTAATCAAATAGCACCTAAGCAGGGTGCAGCATCTGCCCTCATGTATCTCAGCCAATGGCATTTCTAAGCCAAATTGTTAAAGGCATTTCCTGGACATAGGAGCAATCACAGATGGGTGAAATTTTCAGCATTAGCACCAGTTTACTTTGTCCTCTTGAGCTCTGAAATGCTACTGAATCTGCTACTAATCTCTTCTCTTCTTTTTACACTCAGTGAACTAGGGAGGTAGGATGAGTAATTTGAAGATAACAAAACATATCAGAGAAGAGAATTTTCCCTTAAAATAACGCGGTCATTTTTGCTAAAGTCAATATTCTACGTGTATTGTCATGTATAACTTTTATTTTTTTAACTGGAGCAAATATTTTATTGTATTAGAAGTTAAATTAATTCTTACTTTAATGCAGAATTAAGAAGAAAATTGTGACATGTGAAATCATTTTCAAATTTTATTAAAACTCTATTAAGTAGGCCAGGCGTGGTGGCTGATGCCTGTAATCCCAACATTTTGGGAGGCTGAGGCGGGTGGATCACCTGAGGTCTGGAGTTGGAGACCAGCCTAACCAACATGGTGAAACCCCATGTCTACTAAAAATACAAATTTAGCTGGGTGTGGTGGTGCATGCTTGTTATCCCAGCTACTTGGGAGACTGAGGCAGGAGAATCACTTGAACCCGGGTGGTGGAGGTTGCAGTGAGCTGAGATCATGCCATTGCACTCTACCCTGGGCAACAAGAGTGAGGCTCCATCTCAAAAAAAAAAAATATATATATATATATATAAAATAATATATATATTATATATATATAAAATAATATATATATTATATATATATAAAATAATACATATATTATATATATATAAAATAATATATATTATATATATAATAAGAGACAATGCAAAAAATGTGTTGGTATATGGAATATAGGACTGTTAGATGTGGAAATAAGTTCATAAATCACAAAATTTATAGAATCACAGATTCCCTGACCTTAATCCTTCTGACCTTCTGCCATACATTTTTGAGCTCTGTCTTCCAAGCAAGCTATTCCTTCAGAAGTTTCTCTTTGGAAGGCATTTCCATTACTAAATTCCTGAGGCACCAGCAGAACATATCTTTCGTTGCGTAGCTTGTGTGATTTACATCCCAAGCTAAACACTTTTTCTTATGACGCCCAAAGTAAAGATAAATAACAGCTTGTTGCCGTATCTGTAGGTAAGCTTTCTGAAGCTAAGGGGACTCTAGTTGAACTTCAGTTTCTATTATTATGTTCTTGTGGGCCCTATATTCCATTCTTATACAGCCCTGATTTTATTTGTTTCAAATATTTTTGAGGACCTCAAATGGAAACAATTGTAAAAAGTGATTGGCTACGGTTAAATTGGTCAATGTCTTCAGTACATTAGGACTTTCAAGATGTTGGAATATCTGGGTTGATTCCAGATTAATTACAAAATTGAATAACAAAATATATACAGAGAAGTGTGATTCATTAAGTAAGCTACAATATTCTCTAGAACTTTTGGCCACACTCTGCAGCTTTCCATTTTCAGAGGCTGGATGGAGGTAATTATTAGGGAAGGGGAGTAATCTAGAGTGTCTTCTAAACTATGCAGTGTATGGTGATGAGTTTAGGAACACAGGTTCTCCAGTCCCACAGCCTGATTCAAATTCCAGCTCTAAAACAATCCACTCTGAGAATGTGAGCAAGTTCTAAGGCCTCAGTTTCCTCACCTCTAAAGTGGAGGTATCAATACTACTGATCTGCCATCTTATATTGAAGATACAATGAAATAACACTGAGAGATCACAGTGTAAGACACATAATGCGTGATAAATACATGTTCACTATTGTAATTATTCTGAAATGCCCATTTATATTTCCCACACTGGCCCGTGCAAACTATTTTGAGATAGGGCGAAATCAACGCATCATCACACTGAAACCCCCGGTCACAATCAGATGCAGTTTCCTATAATATGACTTTAAATTGTCAAAGGATGCCATAAAAAACACAAAGAGTTGGTTTCCACCACATGAATTCAGGGAGCTTCTCATATTCTATGCCCAGATAAATAATGACTGTGTCTGGAAACAGGCAAAGAAAGACAAAAGGGAGATAAACTCCTAGACCTCTCTTTCCAGGCTCAAAGCAAAAAAAAAAAAAGCAAGCTTATACAGCAAGATTAATAACTTTCTGCTTTTGAAAAGAGACACAGTCCTGAAGGACAGATTCTAATAAAATAATTAAGATTATTCATCTAAAGTTTCTTAATTCCAGCAGTAACTTAAAAAGCAATCTAATCTTTTTTCCTCTATCTTTCCATAATCTTCTGCGTTTTTCTTTGACCAAAAGACATTGGATCTTCTTAGGGAGATGACCTTTTTCTAAGCCTAGGACATGATCATTAATCTCTACCTGTGTCAGATTCAACTGACTTTATCAAGGAATCTGCAAAGTAGAAAGTTTTCTTACTAAGAGTGGTCGTGGAGGCCTAGGGCTCTGGGTTCCTTGGGGATGGCCATGTGAGTTTGTCTTTTGTCCCTTCCTTGGTGCAATGCGGGTTGACATTGGAGGGTAGACATTCTCAGGCTGTGTGACCGATTTGCATTCTGTATGCGTGTGCAAGGCCATCTTGGATTCCTAGAGCTGAATGAAAGGATCACCTGTTTTCACCCTCGGAGGTGAAATGCATTTTATCTTTTGATCAAGATATTTCAGTTCACTGAAGCCGAGCCACCTGCAGAGAGAAAAACCAGATCTGCTGAGTCTTTCTTTAAACCCCAGCACATCCATGCTGGTGTCTCCCTGTTAAAATAAGCATTTCTTATCAGTCAGCATCTGTTTCCTTTTTTTCCTCCAGGCCTGTTTACCACATTTTTCATTGAGAGACTTCCCCGTGAAGTATAATTCACTTCGATTTTCCTCATTCATAAGGTTTTTTACATCTCCCAGCTGCAACGATTTTAAGCAAATTTCTGAGGACTTATAATTGAACGTGACTCATTTGCCTAACGCAGAGCTCCAGAGCACAGGCTGAGACAGTCAGAGCTCTTTCGAAACGTGGTAAATTTACACCATGTGCATTTTTTGGTATAAGTATGTGATTCATTGGTGAGGAGGCTTGTCAATAAAGCCTTCTCCACCTCTACTCTGAAATGAAGTGGGTCCTTTTAATATGCAAATTTCTGGAAAAGGCTAGTTCCCTTTCCCCCAGAAGTTGCCAGCGTGAGGAAAATTATCTAGACAAAGTAAACTCATTGGTTTCGTACAACACAAAATCAAATCGCTATTGCCAGGTGTTCCCATGACAACTGCCTTCCTAAGCAAACTTCTCTACAAAATATACAGCTGTTATTTTATCTCATTACTAAGTTCCCTTGACAAAACTACAGTACAATAACCACTCACATACATGTTGTTAAAGGGGATAAAGCTCCCCTGGGCCCACATGGCTTATCTTTCAAATGATAACTTAACAATTCAACCCTCCATCATCGGCACTATGTGATTTCTTTTCTCTTCTTTGCCTTGTGCCATATTAGGAAAAATTCATGCTCATCTTTAATATACTGTTAGTGTGTGAGTAGAAATTTTTATATTTTCTATTGTATACCCACAAACAATTATGTAACAACCAAATTTCCATCAAATAAGATGATAAAATTAACTTCTCTAATATTTCATATCCCCACAGTAAATACATTATCTGTCATTGCTTATGCTAATTATTTTGAGCATAACGGTGACTGGACTAGTCTTTGGATGTCAGTCATTCTGCGCTAGTTGAAGACAGAGTGGGTTCTGTCTATCTCTAGACAGGAACCAGTAAGAAAATTGAACTCATTTTATCCAATTGCCAAGAGTTGGGGAGAGACTACTTTGCCTATTCTATGCCCCACTGTAACATATTTCAGGACCAGTGCAAGCTGTAAGCCAGAAGAAAAATAGGTCAAAGCCCTAAAGGAAAGTCAGATTCTCATGAAATATTCAGCGAGACTCCGTCCTCTCAGTAGTGAGGGGAGTGAGGATGGAAGGGGTGGCAGGTTCCATGTCATTGGTCGAGGAGGAGGGGAGAAACAATGGCAGTTATGTCCCCTGGAAGGATAAAGTCTGGCTTAGTTTCACTGTCAGATGGCTACATGTTTCCGTTGCTTTATTTTAAAAGAATATTTTTTTCCAGTTCAATTTCACTGTATTTGACAAGAAAACTAGTTTTTGGTGATACTTCAGATTATGCCGTAGATTTCAAAAAGATTCATTTTTGACAATGTTATATAGTATTATGTTTGCAAATGAGAGTCAAAAATAGCTGATTCTTACAGTTTCCTGCAGAAGTAAAATGCAAGGAAAATCCTGGCTATAATGCATCACCTCCTGTCAAGAGACAGCCACCAGTTTCAGCAGAGACACATCAACTAGAAATAGGCAGGAGAGGGACAGAGGAGGTGCTGTTTTCTCACAGTAGGATGTAGCTAAATTCACAGGGCATCTTCATTCATAAATTCAGTGGAACCCTATTAACTTGTTTTGCTTGAAAACCCAGCAAGAAATCTTCCCATTGATTTATTATTAGCTTTGTCATAGTCTCATAGATGGATGAAAATAGCGTAGTTTATATGGAAGACAAACCTGCCTTCAAAATCACATTCACCTCAGTGTTTTTCTTTTCATGTTATTATTTACACACACACACACACACACACACACTGCTGTTATTCCTTATAGCTTGTATCAGTTAGAAAGTTACTTGTTATGCTGCAATAACAACCACCACAACAAAAAACCCCACCACATTATTAGCGGATTAAAACAATGAAGGTTACTTTATTTTTTCCTTCTTATGCGGATTCTGCAGCCTGTCCAGATGACAAAAATTTATTTAGGATAAAACTTGAGTCTCATCTTTGACTCAGTCTTTTTTCTCTGCCCTCAGCAGAAACATTGATGGTCTCCCAGGCTTGCATCTAAACCTTTCGGGATCGCTCAACTCGGTTAACTTCTCTCTATTCCCTGCCTCTGTCACCACTTCAGGCCAGCATCGTATGTCAAATAGGTTACTGCACCTTCCTGTGACGACAGCACCTGCTTCTAATCTTCCTGCAGCTCTCCTGCAATCTCTTCTCCAAGGACTGTCCTAGGGAATTTACTTAAGTCAGCTCCTTGTTGTCCTCGGGGTAAAGTCCGTAATACTTTACTTACAAGTTCTGCTCTTATCTGAGCCCTACTCATTCTTCCAGTTTCCTTTCACTTATTTACATCCCATTACACCAGGCACGAAATGACTTTCTGCTTGTCCAAAGTATTTTGCTCACTTCCCAACCTAGGCTCCCCCAAAGATTATTCTTTCCATCTGAGATATCATTTGCTGCTCATTTCTATCAATTCTAATATTTGAGGTCTCATCTTCTGTATCAGTCCTTCCATCATTTCTTCCAGAAATCTTGTACTAACACTATAACCATTAATCCTTATTATAACATTTGCAAGACTGTGTTACCAGAAAGAGGTCCCCATCCAGATGCCAAGAAAGGGTTCTTAGGCCTCCCACAAGAAAGAATTTGGGGTGAGTCAATAGAGTAAAGTAAAAACATGTTTATTAAGAGAGAAAAGGAATAAAGAATGGCTACTCCATAGGCAAAAGAGCGGCATGGTCTCCTCAGCTGCTTATACTTATTCTTACTTCTTGATTATGTGTTAAACAATGGGTGGATTTTTCATGAGTTTTCTGGGGAAAAGGTGGGCAATTCCTGGAACGGATGGTACTTCTCTTTTTTAGACAATATACTGTAACTCCCTAATGTTGCCATGGCATTTGTAAACTGTCGTGCTGCCGGGGGGAATGTCTTTTAGCATGCTACTGTATTATAATTAGCATACAGTGAGCAGTGGGAAAGGCCAGAGCTCACTTTGCTCACCATCTTGGTTATGCCCGGCTTCTTGACTGCAACCTGTTGTATCTGCAAGGTCTTTGTGACCTGTATCTTGTGCCAACCTCCTATCTCAGAATGCCTAACCTTCTGGGAATGCAGTCCAATAGGTCTGAGCCTTATTTTATCCAGTACCTATTCAAGATGGAGTCGCTCTGGTTCAAACGCCTCTGACAATTGTACTGTAGGTGTCATTCACAAAGGTCGGGAGAGAGTAGGGACTCTGTCTTGTTCACTGTCATACCCTTGTGCAGGTCACAGGGCCTTAGACGCAGTAGATGCTGTGTAAGTAAGCATCTTTTAATTGATTTTAAAAGAATGGGACACTCAGCCTTCACTCAGATAAAGAAACTGTTTTACCTTTATGAAACACCTTCTCTTGGTGAGTGCTATAGTCGGGATGTTATATAATTTATATGTTATAATTCTGTCAGAAGGGGAGACCCCTCATAAATGGGACTTGTGCCCTTGTCAAAAAGGCCCCAGAGATCTCCCTCACCCATTCCACTATGTGAGGGCACAGTAATAAGGTGCCATCTATGAACCAGAGGATGGGATCTCACCAGTCTCCGCATCTGCTGCTGCCTTGATCTTGGACTTTTCATCCTCCAGAACTGTGAGAAATAAATTTCTGTTGTATATAAACCACTCAGTCCATGGTATTTCGTTATAGCAGCTCAAATGTACTAAGACATAGAATAAATGTGCTACAACAACCAAGTTCTAAAGGGAATCTATTAAAAAATCTCGAATTATGTATGCTCATCTGTACATAATTCTAAAGGGCAACTACTTTCTTTTTGTAGAAACTAAGACTTTCCATACATATAAGAGTAAGTGAGTTTATGTTCTCCCTCCCTTCATAAGACAAAGGGCACCAACTCTGTAGTTTAAAAGACTATATTGACTTTCAGATTTTTAGAGAGGTGCCACTATGAATCCACAGAGCACTTAATAAGGGTTTTAAAATAATTAAATCAGTAGTAACAAAGTAAAGGCCATCACAGATGCACACACACACACACACACACACACACAGAATATTTCAGAATGTCTCATAAATCTATTCCTTGCCACAGTTTTATTAGTAATGTAATCTAGAATTTATTATCAATTTAATCTCTAATTTAGCCATTTATTTTTCAAATGATTGCATTATGCAATTTTCAAAAAATATAAACTGGTTTGGGATTTTCTCAAGTGTTTATGTACCCTTTACTATTTTCTGTAACAAATGCAATCTTCCCTTCCTTCCTTCTTTCCTTCCTGCCTTCCTTTCTTCCTTCCTTTCTTCTTCCTTCCTTTATATATTCATCCAATATTCAGTGAAAACTATGGGAAATACAGCCAAGAATAAAGCCTGATTCTTGCCTAAAATTATGATTTAGTTGAATGCGTAGCCATGCATCAGCCAAATATTATGCACAGGTGAAAATAGTCTCATAAAGTCATAACACTGTGCTTGGAAAATGTTTGATGAATGCTGGGAGACCAGAGGGCAGATTACAAACACATTTCTGGAAGATGACATTGAACCTAGGTGTGATATTAAATCAGATTTCAGTACACAGAAATAGAAGATGGTGTTTGGAGGATGACGGAATAAATAGAGTGAGTGAAAGCTACATGGCGTTACATGTCCAACATGGCAGAACCCCAGATGCTTGACCTTATGACAGAAGACAAGTGAAAAAGGAAAACCTGGCTTCACATCACAAAGTGATAAAATCACCAAACTAATAATTCGTATGCACCGTGGACCCACTGAAGATTTTTGAGGCGTAGGATGTACTGAGATTTAAGAATGTGAATGCATCTAAAAGATGAATGTGAGGATCTGGACTGAAGACTGAGGCTGCAGGCCTCATGGAAGTCAAAGACGAAGAAGTGAGAAACAGCGGGAGTGGCTGGACCCATCCAGCAGAGCTGAAATAGAATGGGGACTGTTGGGAGAAATCACTTGGATTCTAAACCCACAGAGACTTGCCGCCTACGTTTTAGTTGTTGGAACAGGGAATGGGAGGGTCAGAAGTGTAAAAACATCTGTAATTTTGATATTTCTGGATTGCCATTTCCAGAGGTGGTACACATTCAGCCCGGAGGCAGAGCCACTGGCACAAGGTGAAATGCTCCACCCAGTGTTTTCTCACATACCCTCAATGAGACGCATGCCATCCCTTTGCAAACAGTTTCCCTTTGTTTTCTTGTCCTACAATTCAATCTCATTTATGTTCTGCTTAATAGCTGTTCTATGCATATATGCTCTTTCCCCAAGTAAATTATTTACTGCCAAAGAAAAATAAATATTCTAATTGGAAATTCTCTCTTGGAGTCTTGATGCCTCAGGCTATGTTTTCACGATTATGTCAATAAGTTCAGAATTGGAAATACTGAGCTTTGCTACATAGGCAAGGGAAACATATGGAGATATTTAGGAGAGAGCAGAATGTTTGGGTCTGAAGTACTTAAAATGAATGAGCTTAAGAATATAGGTAATCGTTTTTAAAAATTTTATACATTACCTAATAGAATGACTCAGAAATAGATCATCATTAAATGTAAAGTCTAATAATACTGTCAATAGAAGCTTTTGGTAGTAGTGATCTTCTAAAATCTTTGTGATTCTCTAAGTCAACTTTAACATTGATGTTTTATTGATTCCAGAAAAACTTCATCTAAAATCACTTTGTTCAATGCCACAGTGCTCAAGATGTAGACATTTACAACCCCAGAAAAGTACCCTCGAGAGAAATTTGCCAAGAACTAATAATAGAGATGTTATACAGTCAGCCAACTGTAATCTTTTTTAGACAGTAGAATCATGAACTATATTTTCTATTTCAGCACCTACAGTAAGATTTTGTCTGAGAATTGTAATAAGAAATCATTCAACTCCATAGCATATTGTGAGACAATATATATTTGGAAATCGTTTCACATTCTTTTTACTTTAAAGCACGCTGAAATTCTCATTTAAGGCAATGAAAATGTGCAGTGTAATAATAAGCAATAAATTTATATTAGCCATGATATTACTTGGAAAAAATGCAATGATTGTAAAAGAGGCCAGGAAAAACTATATATGCTCTGAATATCATTAGCTGAAGAGGAAATAGACGAAAGGCATTGTTACATTGTAGATATGTTCACCTATGTTTTAAGTAAGTGTGTTTTAACATGATGAATCCAGGAAATCATGTAGCGGCAAAGTTACAGGGGAAAGAGATTCCCAAAGCAATGTAGAAAAAGAGAAAGTAAGTTGGATACTTGGAATAAATTGTGACGCTAATACACAATCTGTTTTTTTTTTTTTTTAACAAATGTAGTGATAAATGTAGCCTTATGGGAAATACATAGAGGGAGACTTACACACATGTCATTGTACTTTTTGAGCTTCTCTAAGAATAATCAGAAAAACCAAGCCCCGGGAATCCACTCTGTGCAAGCCCAAGGACACTCAAGCCTCCAAGTGCCTGGTGAGTTTCCCAGCGCACCCTGCTCACTGCTGAGACGTCGACGTCGGAAAACCGCCGCCTGGACCCCTGCTTGTTGTGTGAGGCTGCTTTGCGCACACCCTCCTGTCATGCCTCAGGTGAATTCAGCCTCACGTCCTTGAGGGGAGAGGACCCACTTCCACAGGCGTTAGAATGACTCTGAGACAGACGCGGCTTCGTCCTTGTATTTGTCCTATGCCTATCTGAGCTGTGGCAAGTTCCTACTCTTCTTCCCCGCCCTGACCCTCCCCACCCCGCCCAAAACATTTTGAACTCATTTCTCAAGGCATATATTTTGTTTTGCTTTGTTCGTTTCTCAATTTTTATTTCAGTTCAGGGGGCACGTATGCAGGTTTGTTGCATGGTAAATTGCCTGTCACTAGGGTTTTGTAGACAAATGATTTTGTCACCCAGGTAGTGAGCATAGTAACGGACAGGTAGTTTTTTGACCCTCACCGTCCTCCCACCCTCCACCCGTAAGCAGCCCCGCTGTCTGTTGTTGCTCTCTTTGTGTCCAAGTGTACTCAATGTTTAGCTCCCACTTAGAAGTGACAACACCCAGCATTTGCCTTTGCGTTCCTGCATTAACTGGCTTAGCCTAGATTAATGACCTCGTGCTGCATCCACGTTGCCGTAAAGGACATAATTTCATTTTTTTTTATTGCTGCATAGTATTACCTGGTATACTTGTACCACATTTTCTGTATCTAGGCCACCATCGATGAGCATTTAGGTTGATTCCATGTCTTTGGTATCGTGAGTAGTGCTGCGATGAACATACATGTGTTGGTAGAACGATCTATTTTCTTTGGGATATAAACTCAGCAATGGGATTGCTGGGTTTTACGTTTTTTGAAAAACCTGCAAACTTCTTTCCACAATGGTTGAATTAATTTACATTCCCAGCAGCAGTGAATAAGTGTTCCCTTTTCTCCACAACCTCAAGGCATATGTCAAAATAACATTGTTCTTATATTCAGGTTCAGTGAAAGCATTCTAGTTATAAAATACGGTAGAAGGTAAGGAATAGACCCTCACCAGCAAGTGACTCCACAAACAGAGGTAGGGAGAAGATCTAAAGTAGTCGTTGTCCTAATAAAAGGGTAAACAAACAAAATATACTTGACAAAATAAAACAATCTCAAAATATTAAAATTAATGTCAAAAAAAAGAAGTGCTTAAACGGGCAGAAGTCTAAATGCCTGGGAGTCAACCTATAAACTTGACATCCCTCCTCCCGCACCCCCGAAGCTCCCAAGCCCTGCAGGGAGGTTCGCACACCTGAGTTCCCCCTTCTCATCTCAGCCCCATCTTCCCTTCTCAGTCCAGATCCTCTCTGCCCTACCTCTGCTTCCTCTTCTGAACCAGCCCATCAGTCTTCTCACTTTATACCTGGTGTATTTTTTCATTACTTTTTTTTTTGAGAAGAATTCTCGTTCTGTCACCCAGGCTAGAGTGCAGTGGCACGATCTTGGCTCAGTGCAACCTCCGCCTCCCAGGTTCAAGCGTTTCTCCCACCTCAGTCTCCCAAGTAGCTGGGATTACAGGCGCCGCCACCACCACCGGCTAATTTTTGTATTTTTAGTAGAGATGGGATTTCGCCATGTTGGCCAGGCTGGTCTCGAACTCCTGACCTCAGGTAATCTGCCCGCCATGGCCTCCCAAAGTGCTGGGATTACAGGAGTGAGCTATAGTGCCCCGCCTTTTTTCATTACTTTTTAAAAATAACTCTTCACTTGTTAAATCTCTTCAATGATTCCTCTTGTTTTTAGGGAAAGAACCCATTCTCTTTGCATGGCTCTTGTAGGAGGAATAATCTGATTTCTGACATGAGTGCCCCTCCAGATGAAGATCACATTCACCAGCCCTACTGAACTAATCACTATCTGTAGATTCCACCATGACATCACAGGCCCAGTTCGTCCCACTTAATGTTTACTCTGTCTGCAGTATAGTCCCCTTCTTCATCTGGCTAACTCCAAAGTCCAGACTCAGTACATGAGTCACACCATTCAGAAAGTCTTCCCTGACCTTCATATGAGATCTCGTATCCCGTGCACATTCATCTGAGTGTATTCGTGCTGTCTGTTCATTTAAATACCTCTTCTAGTCGACTGCATCTATGTATATATATAAATATCTCCAACTCAATATTGCTGTGGATAGCTGATGGTCACAGGTTAAAATTAGGAGCCTTTCAAGTGTAAACTAGAAATTGTAGTTCTATTGTTTTATGATGAGTAATATTAAATTTATTGTTATTCAAACTTAATTGTTCAGACTTAATTCATGTCTTGTTTTGGGGGCCCCTGGGTCCACCGTAAAATTATGTAATAAATCTAGAAATACTTTGTTAGGATATTTTTACTGTTATTTATGATTATAATTAATTAAGTGCACAGTAAAAGATTATTTTTCTTTGAAGGACTATTTCTGAACAAAATATGTAATCATCTGTTTCATTATAACAAGTCTGATTTGGATTTTTAAGATTAGGTTTTCTTCTCTTTTTTATTACTTGGCACATCTGTGGAAAGTGTGTTTAAACAATATAAAACATGTCAGTCTGTTTTTAGGGTTAATGTGGAAAAAAGTAAAGATGAAAATGACAGATGAAAAAGTAAAGATGAAAATGACAGATAAAAAAAGTAGATCAAAACAGTAGATGGCCAAGAATACATAAACAAAAGAAAAAAAAAAGAAAATTGGTTAGTCAGCAGGATTATATAAGAAATATGGCAAACATAAAAAGTAGAAAACCCCAGACATATGAGCTATTTGATATGAGTAAAGAATTTTGAAATAAAAGTAAGCTGTATGATGACCAAACCTAGGAATGCAATAGTGGCAAAATCCTGTTCTTTCTTGCAGAATCAAATATAAAATTTTTAGAAGATATTTTCTTATAAGACGGTAGGAAACAGGGCACATTTTGATCTTGTTCATTGTTAGTGAAGTTCGAATTGTATGTGACACATTTTCTACCCTAAGTGGTTTTCTAGAATACTTAGCATTCATATTCAAGAATAAATCACAATTTGTTTAAACCACTGTTAATTTTATGTGTTTTGAAATCTACATTTTTTTCAAAAATTTCTCACTGCCTCTAAATGTTCCCATATAGGAATTTTGTATGGCCCAATTTAACATGCATGATTATATACATATATATGATATATATCTTTCATATTTTCCATATGAGATAAATGATATGTCTCACATTTTATATGTGAGATAATCATTTATATCTCATATTTTATATATGTCTTATATAGCTCATATTTTATATATGATATATACATCATATATGATATGACAGTTTTATTAATTGATTTACCTTCAGGGAGGAGAAGAAAATGCAACACAAATTAGGGAGATTAGTTAATACTTTTAAGAGTGACTTTTAATTTTACTGTATTATTTAATCTTTGACATTAACAGTAGTAAAGATAGCTCCCAGGAAGAAATGTCACCAAACTTGTTTTTATTTTTTGTTTGAAAGACATAAGATGATTTGATAATAAATTTTATTTTTGTATGGGTAAAATAAAAACAAAACAAAAACACTACTGTAAGCATGCTTAGAAGGTTTTCCTCTCATTGTCAACTTTAATGACAAGGCGTTGGACCTTTAAGTAATCAATTAGTACCAATTGCTTCAAACCAACAATCCACTTTTAGCAAAGGCAGAGTCAACTGGGTAGTGGTTTTACTATTGCCATGGGAACCCATGTTGCAGCCTGTGTTACCAGGTTCTGTAACTTCTTAAAGCACTTAGTTTTTCTACGAGAATGCAGGTTGCTATCCTATCCTATTTTTATTTATATATGGGTATTTCTGCTCAGTTTTAGCTTGAGATGTGTTTCAGTTTATTGCTTTGAAAGCATATAAGATATATACACCCAAGCTAGCTCGTGTAAGAAGTGGGCTTAATGGAAGAATAAATAAAAACCAAAACGTTCAGTCATATTCAGACGCTTCTGAACAGAGACAAGTTCAACTCCTGAGCCGCATTCTCAATTTCAGATTCGTGAGAAAAATGTCTAATTGATCCAGTGATCCAGCTGATCTTTTTGCCAGCAGTCATGGAATTTTGGCTGGTCTACTTATTGGCTACTCTTGATTTAGACACCTGTTCATAGTCCATTCAACTGCATGTGAGAAGAACATGTCATCTAGAGTATATATGAAATGCTAGAGATGGCATGGGTAGTATTTGTTGAGTACTTCTTGATAAGTTATACTCATTTATTCATTCAGGCACTCCACAAATATTTGTAGGATTCTACTCTCAGAAGGCACTAGATAGGTATTAAGAATGCATAGCTTATGAAAAGCAGGTAAGTTGCCCACTGTCCATAACGCTTACAATGTTGGGAAGGAACGATGTCACTCAACTAAAAACATGAATACGATAATGGCAGGTAGTGATAAGTTATATAAGTGAATACATGGAATAGCATGACACTGGAATCAGAAAGCTTCTTTAAAGATTTAGGAAGATTTTAGGCATTGTAAGACATACTGTTACTGTTGCAACTACTCAACTCTGCCACTTCAAGAGTGAAAGCAGCCATAGACAATACTAAACAAATGAATAGTGTGGCTGTATTCCAATGAAACTTTTTATTTAGAAAACCAACTGTTGGGCTGTGGTTCACCTGAGGCCTTAATGTGCTGACACCTATTACAGAGAAAAACACAGCAGTGCTAGGTAGGTGACCATGTCTTTGTAGATAATGCAGTCAGAAGATTCCTCTCTGAAGAAGTAACATTTGGACTAAGATGCAAATCATGAGAAGGAACCAGATGTATTTGGAACTGCAGGAATGCTCACCAGGCAGGGGGAGCACCGATTGCAAGGATCTTGAGAAGAAGGAGATTGGAAAGTTCAAAGAAAAGAGGGGAGACCGAAATGGCTGGAGTTTGATGAGAAATTGAGAAAGCACTATAAGTAAGAGTTGAAGGGTTGACATATGTCAGCTTATGTAGCTGACAAAATTGAAGACAAAACTGAATAAACGGGAAGAATCAGAACTAGGTCGGCCAGAGCTAATGAGCAGTCTTCCCAAGGCATTGACATGAATCCATCAACTATTCACTCCCTCCCTGTCCCTCTCTACAGGGATCCAGTGCCTTGGAAAAGAAGCCCGTCGTCAATGACTGGACACATAGATTGAGTCTACAAGACTGCACAGAATGGAGGCAAGGACGTTTTCCAAAGTGAAACTAAAGCTCTATGAACAAAAGAAGGAAAAATCTATGATAAACATGGAAGAACACAGATAGGTACCCACTGCTGTTATTCAGGGAGCTTCTTCAGTGGTGAAGAAAACTTTAATCTCAATTAATCTGAAGTCAAACTCTGTTGATGAACACATACAGCCAGAGGGAAGATGACCAGAACCATTTTTCATTAGGAAATGACTTTCTTGATCCCTAAGAGTAATGGTTACTTCAAAATCTACTTTGCTTAAAAGTATAGGCATTTCAGCTATTAAAAAAAAAATTTCAACTTTTATTTTGGATCCAAGAGTGCATATGCAGATTTCTTATAAGGGTATGTTGTGTGATGGGTAAGATTTGGGGTACAATTGATCTCATCATCCAGGTAGTGAGTATAGTGCCTAATAGGTCGTTTGTAGAACCTCCCCCCTCTAGTAGACCCAGGGGTCTATTGTTGCTGTCTTTATGCCCATATGAATCCAATATTTAGCACCCACTCATATGTGAAAACAAGCGGTATTTGTTGTACTATTCCTGCATTAATTTGCTTAGAATCATGGCCTCCAGCTGTCATCCATGTTGCTGCAAAGGACATGAGTTTATTCCTTTTTATGGCTGCATAGTATTTCGGGGTGTATACATAACACTTTCTCTTTATTCAATTCACTGTTGATAGGTATTTATGTTGATTCCATGCCTTTGCTATTGTGACGAGTGCTTCAATAAACACGTGAATGCACGTGTCTTTTGGATAAAACAATTTATTTTCTTTTGAATATATACCCACGATGAGACTGCTGGATCAAATGATAGCTCTATTTTAAGCTTTTTGAGAAATTTTCAAACTTCTTTCCATAGTGGCTCGACTAATTTACATTCCTACCAGCAGTGTATAAGCATTCCCTTTTCTCCACAGTCTCGCCAGCTCTACTGTTTTTAACTTTTTAATAATAGCCATTCTGACTGGTATGAGATGGTATCTCATTGTTGTCTTGATTTGCATTTCTCTGATGATTAGTGCTATTGAACATTTTTCATGTTTTTTGGCCCCTTGTATGTCTTCTTCTGAGATGTGCCTGTTCATGCCTTTTGCCGACTTTTTAAAGGGTTATTTCATTTTTTTGCTTGTTGAATTAAGTTCCTTGTAGATTCTGAATATTAGACCCTTGTTGAATGCATAGTTTGTGACTATTTTCTCCTGTTCTGTAGGTTGTCTCTTTAGTCTCTTGATAGTTTGTTTTGCTGCGTGGAAGTTCTTTAGTTTAATTAGGTCTCACTTGTCCATTTTTGCTTTTGTTGCAGTTTCAACTATTTTTTAATCCATAGTAACTTTGTATAACTTTTCTTTTATTTACTCATAGCTTATTTGTGCCTTTATATTTAAAAAGGGTCCCTCGTGGGCATTCTGTATTTGCCTATTTATTTTTTAGCCAGTGTTACAATTCTTGCCTTTTAATTGTTCTGTTTGGACCATTTATATTAACATAATTATCGATTCAGTTGGATTTAAATCTACTATATTCATTGTTTTTCCTGTTTGATTAATCTTTTGTTTGTCCTCCTATTTTTTCTTCTTTTATTGGGTTAATTTAATAATTTCATTATTTAATCATTCTAATTGACTTATTCAATTACATAATTTTCCTTGTTGACTTATAAACTGTATCTCTTTGGGGTGTGTGTGTAGTGTAGTATAATAAAAAAATCATTGTTATTCACACAGTTAACATTTTTAATGTTCTTTATTTCATTGTGGAGATCCAGATTTTTCATCTCAGACATTGTGGGTTTTTTGCAAGAAGTTTAATTGGAGTCTTTTATAATATTATCCAAGTCTCTATATAACATGCTCATATTTTCCTCTAGTTTTTTGAATACATGAAATACGGTTATAATTTCTGCATATTGGTCTATACATTATGCATATGTCATTTCTGTGTTAATTTCCATCTATTGACTTCTTTCTCATCATTATGAATTCTATTTTGCTGTTTCATTGAATGCCTGTAATTTTTTAATGAATAACAACCATTTGGAATTTTATCTTTTTGTTTCATGAATAATTTTTGCATTCCTATAAATATTATTGAGCTCTATTCTAAGATGCAGTTTCATTTCTTGGTAGTAGTTCAATCTCTCAGGTTCTTATTTTTAATCTTTGTTAGATAGGACCAGGGTAGCATTTATTTAGGATTAACTTTCTTCTGCTCCTTGAGGCAAAACCCTTTTAAGTATTCTACCCAGTGACCTATAAACTATAAGATTTCTACTCTTGGTTTTGGGAACAGAAAATATGTCTGGCTCTGTGTGAGTTTCAGGGATTACTTTCCTAATCATTTTAGATGGTTCTTTACCCAGACTACAGTAGTTTCCTCCTACCCTTGCACTGATCAGTTTTCAGCTGAAGAGACAAGAGAGACCTTCTGCAAATCCTCAGTGGTCTCTCTGTCCAGCTCTCCTCACTAGTTCTTAGCCTTGTGTGGTTTAGCTGCATTGGCCTCTCCAGGCTTTATCTCCTTAACTCAAGTAGGATGCTGCATTCCCTGGCTTCCCATCTCTGAGCTTTGCATGGAACTGTCTCCAGGAAATAGGCTTCAGAAATTTGGAGTTTATCTCATTGGTTTCCCGTTCCTCTAAGATTTCTCCACTTTGATGCCTGCTGTCCAATGTCTTAAAACTCATTGCCTCTAATATTGCATATGTTTTTTCATTATTGTAGGAGAGAGGATAAATCTAAGTCCCGTGACTGCATCTTAGCTAGAAATATAAGTCCTCAGTTGCTTTAATTTTTTTTCTTCTTTTCCATAAATACTCCTGGCACCTTTATTTGTACACAGCAGCTCCTAGATGATCACATCAAAATTTCTAAGAAATCTTATAATCTGAAAAAATTTAAGAGTTTCCCAAAAATCCCCAAAGGCACTCTGAGATCAGCATTTAGATTCCAAGAGGGAATCAATGAATAAACATGTCATTTGTTGGTAAGTTTGCAAAAATATCACTCCTAGGTGAATCATTTAAATGATATCTATTTGGCTAATTGATGTAATAACATTTATTGTGAGCCTTTAATTTTTTTTTACATAAAGGACAATTGTGTCCTAAAATAAGTACTCCATTGGCGATTGTTTGCAAATGATGATATTTTCATTACTTGCCTTATCATCAAATTATCCAAATTGATAATGCTGGATAATAAAGATGTACATTTTGTTAGAGTCACTTCACTGTTGGAAAACAAATTCTTCTCTGTCCCCCTCTGACTCCCAGCACAAAGTGGATGAATGCCTTCTCCACAGAAGAATGGAGCTCATTTTTCATGGTCAATCTAAGAAAACCCAAAGGTATCTGAAGTAGTTGAATAGATTTTTAGACTGTTAGAACTGGAAGGTATATCAGACAATCTAGCTGGATCATTATGATATATTTTACCTGGAAAACTTATAAACCACAATGCAGATTTTAATAATTAAGCAACTGAATTTGAAATAAATTGTTCAATATATCAAAAATTGAAAAATTCCACTAGAGTACCTAAATAAATTATTGAATATCTCCAGGAATGGAGATTTTAATAAATTATGTCCAAGAATACCCTGTAGGAATCATCATAAGAAAAAATATTTAATACAAATTCAAAATTTTAAGTTCTTGTGCCTTTATTTTGTAGGCAAACACCATTTTTTTTAAAAAGGTGATGAAATAATGCTGAACAAGGAGCCTTATTCAAACTCTATTTTGAATGACTTTTCTTTGTATTTAATACACTTATTTAATATTTTTACCATTTATGTGTCTTTATATCTATTTTATTCTTTTTAGAAAGTCAAAATCAAACTAGCTGGTTACTTTGAAATACCTTATTACTTACAATGTTATATTGGATGCTAAATATATAATATGTAAAGTTCATTTATCTAATGTGATTAAATATTCACATAAATTATCATATTAAATAATGCATTTAATATATGCATTTTATATTATGCAACTTATAGATGTACTCAAATTTTTAATTAACTTCATAGTGTTGGACATTTGCCTATGTGTCAGCTATAACTATAATATGCCTTTCAGCAAACCTTCCCTCAATTTCATTGCTTAATGCAACGATCATGCGTCGTCACAGATCTCTGCATCTTCTGAGGTTCAGAAGGCACCCTGGGCTTGGTGGGGAGGCTCTGCTGATCTTGACAGGGCTCAGCCATGCACTCGGTACTTAGATATTAATCCTCTGAACTAGACTGGGCTCCACTGGGTGATTCAGCTCTGCTCCATGTCTCTCATCCTACCTCTGGAATCAGCAGACTAGTGTCAATATTCTTCTCATGGCAATGAAAGAGATGCAAGACAGCATGTCTGTCTGGGTGTTTCTTCGTTAGCCCGTCATTCTCTCATTCTTCTCTTTCTCCTTCTCCTCCTCTTCCTCCTCTTTGTTCTATCTCCTCCTCCTCCTCTCCACCCTCCTTCTCCTCTTCCATCTTTGCCTCCTCCTCCTTCTCCTCTCTCTCTTTCTTGATAGAATGTCAGCATTTAACGTTTTTGCTAAATTGACAAATGCAAATGGAGATTATAGCCTTTGGCCTAAGCATTTAAGTACATTTCTTTAAACCTTCCTTCAAAGGTTTAGTGAAGTAACACTTAAACTCATTGCATGATTTATCAAGGGTAGCCTTGGCCCCACTGCTCCTATTCCTTCAAAAATAATCACTTAAATGAATCTTACTCTAAACCAATGAGTCAAGCAAGGTTCTGAAGGGACATAAAAATCTCCAGCTTGAGCTGCCAGTAAATTGTGCTTTATGTAGCTGTGCTGACCTTTGCCTATTTGTGTGATATATTTGCTGTCTTTGTTTTTATTTTGTTTTTGATGGATACTAACTACAGTCAACATATATGATGCCAAATTGCTCTTTTTGAAATTGATTTCATTTTTCAAAGACCTAATTGGCATCATACACTCTTCTTTTTTCTTTCCTACCTCCTTCTCCATAGCACAAGTTTATAGTGTTCTACTGATTAGTTCTGACATCGGCATCTGTCACTTAATTTTTTATACTATTTTTTATAAAAGCATGACCTATTCTGTATTTTCATTATTTTAGATTTTCAGTTAATTAAAAAATATATATAGTTTTATATATATATATATATATATATATAGCCACATGAAAAACAGATTCCTCATTATAAAAATTTTTACTAACTAGTAAACTGTTACTAACTATATAAATTACTAAGACTTTAGTTTAGATAGGATGATTCTTCTTCCCCCATTTAATAATCTTGAGTTGAAGTTAATTATATGCTTGTTTTAAATTAATGGTATGTAAGGATCACTATCAAACTACTAAACATAATGATAACCGCTTTATGGGTTATCATTATGTTTAGTAGTTTGATAGTGATCCTAACACAGCATACAGAGAGACATACACATTTATGTCTCTCTCCAAAATTCATATGTTGAACGTTAAACCAGATGTAATGATATTAGGAGGCGGGGCCTCTGAGAGGTATTTAGGTCATGAAAGTGGGACCCTCATGATAGGATTAGTGTTTTATAAGAAGAAAAAGGAGAGACTGAGATTCCTAACCACCTCCCCACACCAGGCCATGTGAGAACACAACAAACACATGGTCATCTGCAAACCAGGAAGAGATTCCTCCCAGACACTGAACCTACTGGAGCTTGGCTCTTGGACTATAAAAAATACATTTTTATTGATTAAGCCACCCATTTGTTGTTTTGTTATAGCAGTCTGAACAGATTAAGATACCCCTTGAATAGAAACCTGTTTGAAAACTCATAATAATTTGTTGTTACTTGAGAAGATATTGTGTTGGTGGCTTTTCAGAGAGGTCATTAAATATCCAACAGCTCTTCATTCCCACACCTTTCACCTTTTGAACAAGAACAAAAGCAAAATTGAGTGGCTAAATGATATTCTTAAAGTATTGCGGTCTACTTTGAACACCAATACTCAAATACTAACTAATTCAATCAGGCAGAAATGCACTAAGGAATAATATTTTTCACAATTAATTATTCCACTAGGTGTTTTCTAGAACTTAAACATGATATTGTAAATGTAAGTATAACTTCAATTCATTGTTTGAAAGGCTATTGTTTATTTTCCCACCCAAATATTAGATTTACAATATCATGAAATGATGTGTAATAATTTATATAGGATATGTAATAAATGAATAAATTAGAACTAATGTCCACCAAATACCTACTGCATATTACTGCATTGCGCTAGGTGTTTCACGTCTACTAATTCATTTAATCCTCATCATAATTCTGCCTAGTAAGTGTTCACCTCTTTTTGTGGATGAGGAACTAGAAGATTGGGAAGTCCAAATTATTTGTCCAACAGCACATAGTTAATATGAAGTAGAGCTAGATTTTCAACCAGATATTCCTAATTCAAAAGTCTGCTTTCTGTCTATTACACACTGGAGCTACAGTGACATTTGCTTCTAAATTATCTTATGCTTAAACAAGAAAACCTCATAGAATATGGATTTTTAGTGGCAAGATCAAGAGCTTCAACACTCTTTTCTCTGCTTAAATTTTCTAAGTTTAGCCTCAATTTTCTTATCACAAATAACTTCCCCTTTCTAGAGAAACCTTCTAACCTACATACCCTTATGAATGCCATTTCTTTTCTTTATCACTCTTCTTGATTTACTGGGCCATGGAGATTCTATCCGCCTAATCCAACAACTAAGAATAGAATGGTGAGATCCATTCCATCTCACCAAATCTAACAGCTTTTCTGCTCTTCTTTGGAAATGATCACAATTATTTCTCCATGGCTCTTTATCCTCACTGTTCACTGTTCACAGATCTTGAGGTCTGAAATGTGTTCTGGAAATCTTAGTGCATGCTATGGGGTTTTAATGCACACAATAAAAATAAAAGTAAAAAGCTACTGCTAATGTTAAGGTACTGTAGGTGCTAATGACATTTTTGTTTGTGATCTTGCTTTTCCATTGAACAGAACAAGGCTGCCCTTGCGTTTTCTGCACATTTCAGCCACTCCTGTGGGCCCTGCTGCCTGCTCAGTGTAGCCAGCGCTCCAAGTGCATTGCCAGATTCAGCCATCACAGCCACATTCCAGCAAGTGTTGCTACCCTCATGTAACAGAGGAGCAAGAAGATTCGACACATTAAGTGAAATTTTCACTGAGCACCTAAGAGCAAGCATGCCTGATTCTAAAACTTAAATTCGTATCCACTGAGTTTGCTGCCTCTAAAAAGCCAGTAGCAGTGATTGCAATTCACTCCCAGACCCCTTCAAGGCCAGGAATCTTTTCATTTTATCAAGGTTGACTCACCCCCATGGATGCATGCATAAGGAATTTAGACTTGATGAGCCTGCCTTGAATTATTGTCATAGACAATGGTACTTAAAGGAGCAGAAATTCTTCCTTTCCTTTCCAACTTAGCTATCAATGTATTGCACAATCAGAATGGTTTGGGTTAATGTTGGAAATATTTCTCTGTATTTCATTTCTATGAATGTATTTTTCTATGAATGTGTATTTCCTTACGGAAACTGTCACCAACTTTAGAAAAACTAGAACACGGCAAATCGCTACAGTTAAGACATTTTGAAACTTCTATTTGCCCTGAAGCCAAAAGCACCATAACTGCTCTCATCATTCACTATTTTAATTGCTCAGTTCCTGTTTGGAATTGTGCTATAAAACTCAGTGTCCTACTTGTCATTCTGATTTTGATTCTAGTTTTCAATCATAGTTTTGAAAAGTTGCTTTGATGAAGGGCTCAAGTATTGCAGTTATAGAGGTCACCACCTATAATCTCTCTAATAAAAAATTTCAAATGAATCACAGCCATTCTAATAATGTTGCAGCCATGCTACATTGCTCATAATTCAGAATATAACACAGAGCCCTTACGGGTCTTTCAGATAGGCTTTTTTTTTTAAATCTGTTTAATAAGCCAAAAATAAGTGAAGGCTTCTATAAGGATCAGGATGGACATGCTCGGATAGACAAGTAGAAAAAGGTTTTACAAAGAATTGATTAGAGCCAATAATTAATGATTAATATATGCATTAACTTCAATATAAACTTTAGCCTTACTTTGTTAATAAACGATAAATCATTTCATATGTAACATAGATATTAAAAATACATTACTATTTCCATTAAAATTGCCATACTCTTCTCTATACTTGTTACAATAAGCTTTTTTTTCCCAGCAGTCAATTCAAAAGTATTTTTTCAGTGCTACTTTTTATATATTTCTTCCTTATGCTGTTTGTGAACAAAGTTAATAATAAGGTTTTTAAATGGTGCCAGCATTTTTCTTACAGTGTTTTTTTGTGTCTGAATAAAGAACTGTCCATGTTAAGAATCCATTTGTTCCTAAGATCATCTCTCAAGAAGGCTAGAGGATGTGCTGCCTGCCACTGCGTCAGCATCTCAGCAACCTGTGACCCGCAGGCTTTGAGATACCCGTGTTCTTCCCGTATGTCATTTGCTCCCTGGTGCCATCCCAGCCGTGACAGTTTCAAGCATCTTTTTTTGTGTTTAAGGCACAACAAAAGTGGATAAGCTTTGCTAGCCTCATGTCTACTTTAGATCAAGAAAGCAAAAGAGGCTGGGTGGATGGTTGTGTGATCCCAGCACTTTGGGAGGCCAAGGTGGGAGAATTGCTTGAGTCCAGGAGTTCGAGGCCAACTTGGGAAACATGCTGAGACCCTGTCTCTCCAAAAAAAATAAAATAAAAATAAATAGCCTAATTAGCCTAGTGTGGTGGCACATGCCTGCAGTCCCAGCCTGGGAGGTGGAGGCTGCGGTGAGCTGAGATCACTCCACTGCACTCCAGCTTGGGCATCAGAGTGAGACTTTGTCTCAAAAGAAAAATTAAAAAAAAAAAAAAAAAAAAGCAAAAGAGGTGAGCTGATGCTAGTTCCAGCCGATTTCTATTCCTTTTCATGGCCAGAGTTAAGTCCTTCAGCCACTCCTTGCTGAAATGTTTAAATAGTGTTTCCTGAGCCCTGGTGAAAACAACTATTAAATCAATTGAAATATTTATTTAGAGTCATCTATGTGCCAGTCACTAAGTTTTCTATTAGCCTTACCTAGATGACCTGTGGAAGATAACTTCAGTTTAACATTCTATGAAAATGTTGATGTCTTTGGTTAGAGGAAGTGAGGCTGAGTTTATAAGTGAAGAACAGGAGAGAATGAATTATTCACAGACATGTATGAGTGTCTGGGAAGACAATGGGACTGTTCACTGGAGGATTTGAGATGCTATATTAAGGACAAAGCAGACATATAAGATAGATCACTAAGCTCTTGACTTTGTGACCCAAGATTCATGTCCAATTTTCCTACTCAAAAGCAAAACTGCAAAGTAGGCGAATTCAAGTACAGATTTCCAATTTCATCTTAGTTTCTTTCATTCGATTGATTCAACCTCAACCTCTTCACCAATATTATATTTTGCTTAAATATTAGCCCAGTAATATGAAAAACATAGACTATAAGAAGTTAATGAAGCCATACAGAAAGGCACATGTCATGAGAGACATCATCGGACTGAGATATGGACTATGTTGTGTCCCCCAAAATTCCTATGTAGAAGCCCTAACCCCCAATGTGTTGGTATTTGGAGGTGGGGCATTTGGGATGTTACTATTATCCATTTAGATGACGTCATGAGAGTTGTGCCCTGGAGACAGAATTAGTACCTACACCTGATCTTGGACTTCCCAGCCTCCAGCAGGAAAGTGAGAAATAAATTTCTTTTCTTTTCTTTTTTCTTTTTTTTTTTTGAGACGGAGTTTCACTCCGTCATCCAGGCTGGAGTGCAATGGTGCCATCTTGGCTCACTGCAACCTCCACCTCCCAGGTGTTCAAGCGACTCTCCTGCCTTAGGCTCCCAGGTAGCTGGGATTACAGGCATGCACCATCACGCATGGCTAATTTTTGTGTTTTTAGTAGAGACGGAGTTTCACCATGTTGGCCAGGCTGGTCTGGAACTCCTGACCTCAGAAGATCTGCCCACCTCAGCCTCCCAAAGGGCTGGCATTACAGGCGTGAGCCACCATGCCCAGCCTGATAAATAAATTTATGTTGCTTAACTCACCCAGGTTATGGCAGCCTAAACTGACCAATAACACACTGGGTTAGATACTCTCTAAGAAGACATGTAAAAATCATTCTGGCTTGTTTAGGAGATGTTTTTGTTGCAGACGCTCCTATTCATTTTGTCAAGAAGTGTTTTAAAAACAACTGTATATGACTTTACACAAAGTCATAAAAAAGAGAAATTCCCACCAGTTGGGCCAGACTTATGTCCTGCTTTCATGAGGAACACAGTCTGGAGGAGACTGACATTAACCACATATTTGCTTTCAATGCTGTATCATGAACTGAGAGAAATGTTTTGAAGGCAAAAACATGAGTGTCACCTGAAATTGCATAGTAATGAAGGAAACCTACCAAGACAGGAGAAAGTTTCATGGCTATATGTGTGTCCTAAAGTCTGCAGGACTATAGGCAATAACTAGGAAGTAATGTTAGGATGGTAACTGCGGAGGGAAGAATGGCCCCATAGTGGATGCGGGCATGGGGTGCCCTGGGCACTGAGAGGACCAGTGCTGCTGTAGTGTAGGAGGTGAGCAGAGCAGTAATACCAGATGAGGATAAAGGTAAACAGGAGCCAGAAGTTAAGGATTTGTTACCCTCTAAAATTCATAGTAGGTCATCATAGGTGGTAAGTGAGGGGGAGGAGTGTCACGAACAACACTGCATTTTGGATAGATGCTCGGGTTGTGGAGTGATGAAAGTTTTGGAGAGAGTCATGGGTTAGGTGTGAGGAAACCCATCACCTAAGTTATAGATAGTAACAGTCCAAACTAAGGTAGCTGTAGACAAGATGAAGGAAAGTTGGCAGATTTGAAAGACATAGAGGAGAAATGGGGAGAAATGGATCGGGACAGCCTTTATGCACGTGGGAAGCAAGGGAAAGAGAATTGATTGAGAGTATTCCAGTTTCTGGAATAGATCAGCAGAGAAGATCCTTAGGATATGTTGATGTTTCTAATAGCCTTGGTAGCCTTCTCTGACAGCAGTTACCTAAGCCACATTGCTAAAGCTTATCACAGCAAGGATCAGAGAACAGGATGAATGGGTTTCCCTGGAATCACCCAGTCTATGCTGCTCTAAGTATCCCAGTTATCTGTCTTCATTCCATGTCTAGGACTATCCTCAGGGGGTCGGCTTCCTGGGATATAAAGAAAAAAGTAAAAAAAAAAAATCAGGAACCTTAAGATTGTGGAAGAGTTGGTAAAATCTGCATGTACTTGATTGTAGTCACAGGACTGAAAACAATTAGAAATGATGCCCTGATTTTCTCTTCATTAGCAGATACTTGGAACACCGACTTCTGGTTTTGATTAGGAAAAAGGAACTGGTATTTGAAGATCCCAATAGTCTTCAGAGGAGATAAGATGCAACCCAAATAAGCTGTTGGTGACTGGGAAGTAATGCTGAAGTTCACAGGCACTAATAGGCTTCTTTGTTATGATTGCAGGAGCTGTAAGAAGAGAAGTTCCCTGTTATGGAAATTTATTGCACCCAGTAAGTATAAGATATCCCTGAGAGGAAGTTTTTCCCTTTTCTTTTTTTAAAAAAATTTGTTGGGATGACTGTATATACTGCATGTGTATAAACTGTATTCTGAAAATGGAAGAAGACAAATCAGATAATTCACCAAAAGAACTGCCTGCTGAGGAGAGACTTGAGGGGGAATCTGTACCCCTGAGCTCAGTTGATGGCAATCAGGAAAAATAGAAACAGGCTCCCAGGAAGGCTGCGAGAGGCACGTTTTGCTTGGGCCCTCTACATGGATGTGGATGACATTGTAAAGAATTCTTTAAGTTACTGCTGGCCTTAAATAATCAGGAAGTGAATCAGTGTCAAATTCGTCAATGAGTAAACATGTCAGTTATTTAAAACTGAAGTGACAGGCAGGAACTCACCTATGGCAACCACAGAGCATGCAGATTCCCCGAATAAGAACCGCAGTACCTGAAAAACCACGGGAACCAGAAAGGACTTGGTTCCCACAGTGGGAGACCTGCCCAAGCGCTTGATTGAGCAGTGATTCTCCAAGGAGGCCGATGGACAAGGAGAGACCACAGGCTGAGACTCCCATTCTCCTGAATGCCCTGGAAATATGTCCACACAGCTGCCCTGGCTCTTGGGGCATCCCAGGAGGACAAGTGAATCCTCCTCTTCCCACCATCCATAAAGGGAGACTAGGAAGAGGCCAACGGCATTTCTCAGCGACTACACCACAAGGATTATATTTGGATCACGTTTAACAACATGGCCCAGGCCAGGTGCAGTGGCTCATGCCTGTAATCCCAGCATTTAGGGAGGCTGAGGCAGGAGGATTGTTTGAGCCCAGGAGTTCAATACCAGTCTGGGCAACATACTGGGACTCTGTCTCTACAAAAAGTAAAAAAATTAGCCAGGTATAGTGGCACGCCTAGAGTCCCAGCTGCTCGGGAAACTGAGGTGGGAGGGTGGCTTGAGCTCTGGGAGGTTGAGGCAGTAGTGAACTGTGTTCGCAACACAGCACTCCAGCCTGGTCAGCAGAGCAAGACCCTGTCTCAAAAATCAAAACCAAATTCAATGTGTCTCGTAGATAAGGCTGATCTTAAGGTTGACCTTGATGAGCTGGTGTGCGCTGGAAGGCCAGAGTCTAAGGTACAATATTATTTAAGGCTCAGTAACTCACACCTGAGGAACCTCCTGCTACTGAACAACTAGGAGTCCGTCTGTCTTAGGTCCATTTCCTCAGAAAACAGATTGTGACATTGCATACAGAAAGTGTAACGGGAGGGACGCACAAGCAAGCCATGAGGAAGCGAATGATGCAGTTTGGAGCAAGGATAGAGTCTGAAAGCGATGCGGTCTCAGCAGGGCCTCAGCCGCCCCACGGAGCTCTGGCGCTCACAGCACCAGCCAGGCCCTTCCCAGGGAGCCTCACAGGTGAGCCCTTCTCAGGCAGCACATCTGTCACTGGACTGCACAGACCTGGGCTGTGTGCATTCAGCAAAGGGCCCCATGGGACCAAAGGGTCAGACTGGGGTTGCTCTGGAGAGAAAGGTCGTCCTCTGACCAGCCATTTAAAAATGGGAATCTGGGGAAGAGTGGAAGTTGAACGTGTAACCATGTTGCCAGTGTGGGCTGCTGTCATCGAGTTTGGATCCCTGTGAAACCACGCAGATACTGAATGCAAAGCATGAATGGAATCCATTTTCTCTGATTCTGATTTCAACAGTGAAGCACACTGCAGTTATTGTTTCTTTAAAAAAAAATTGCATGACTAAAGGTATTACTGTGTATTACTGTGTCCTTAGAGCATGTTTGCATGACTTTGAAAATTGTTCAAGACTATAGGAGCCCAGGAGCCATGGGATCTACAGCTGGACCGCTGGGCTCCAACCCTGTGCCTCAGTTTAGTCATCTGCAAGACAGGACACAATGGCACCTACCACGTGAGAGTGTGGTCAGGTTTAACGGAGATGACGAGGTAAAGCGCTTCAACACCGCTGCCCTACAGGAAGGTGAGGAGAGTAGCACGGAGAAGTTTAGATTTTCTGGGGACGACATTAAACACGGAAAAAAAATGAAATTAATTTTAACATTTGCTTTATTTAACTGAATATATATAATCATTCCACATATAATAAAAATAAAAATCATTGATTTATTTTACGTACCTTTTTATACTGTGTTTTCCAAATCCAGTCTGTACTTTACACTGAATAACACATTTCAGTTGGAAACAGCCACATTCAACTTTTCTGCAACCTCGTAAGAGTAAGGGCTGCCACAGCGAACAGTATGGGCTAAGAGCCACCCCTGGCATAGGGTCGATGCTTGATAAAAATTAGTTTTTAGTATTTTATTTTGTTTTAGCTAACATGTTTTTTGCCTAAGTTGATAAGTTTTATAATATTTTAAAATTCCTATACTTTCAGTTAAAATACTGCATATTCTAAAATTCTTTCTACCACCTTCTCCTGTATATAAACATACACAAGACCCTTTAAATAAAAGGATTCTTTAAAAATTGTTTATTTGTTTGCACTTTCTTGAAGAGAGGATAAAACGGGCCCAATTTATATGAATTAGTTTTTTAAGACATCGATGTGGCATGTTATTACAGCTATAACACTGGATTACAAATTAAAATTTGAGACATTTCAGAAAATCTAGTCTTTCAACTATAGGGAGTTTTAGGTCCCCACTTTAAAGAAGAAAAGCTGTTTATATAGAGTAACCAGAATTGGCCAAAATTTCAGTGGACATATTTAGCATTTATACATTAGTTTTAAAATATTTTGTTCTAGAGGAATTAAAATGTGCTTATGATACTTCCGAATGAAAGTATCAGATAGGTTGGATTTTTATTCCTCACAAATATATAGAATTTTTTTTATTGCAAAACATATTTTTGTCATTTGAAAGAAGAACAATTGACACTTGTATTCCTCAATGGAAATTAACACAATTTGGATTTTTCCTGCTTCTCTTTACCTGGTCAGGGCTGGTCCAATTTAAGCCCCAAAGGTTATCAAAATGTCAAGGAAAGGATGATTTATTCTTATTTGAAGACCATCTAACCTTAAAGGAGAGCTAGATGCTCTCTCTTTTGATACATACAAATTCAGTTAAGTGGCGTTTTTTCAGAATATGTAAAGTAAGCATATGTGTCAGCTCAACCAGAATTTCCTGTTTCTCACCTCTGCTTACAGGGGGCTTGTTAGGTTCCCTGAGTGTTCTGCTGTTTTTATGTCTGCACTTGTTCGATCTTCCTGTGGTCTGGGATTTGGAATTAAATTGAGATCACTGGTGATGATGCCTCAGTCAAACTGGCGTGTTTCATAACAAATGCTGACACAGTGAGTGGAAGAGCTTGGATTCAAACCCAAGTCTTCTTCTTTTGAGTAAAGTGTTTGGTTCTCGGTCCTCCCAGTGTGTCCTGAATTGGGGTTACAATATTTATTTATTTATTTATTTAATTTTGTATTCATATAAATGCCAGGGATGCAAGTGCAGCTTTGATACGTGGGGATATGTTGGGTAGTGGTGGAATCTGGGGTATAGTGTTTCCACCACCCAAGTGATATACTTGTACCTAACTTTCTTTTTTTTTTTTTTTTTGAGATGGAGTCTCACTCTGTCGCCAGGCTGGAGTGTAGTGGCATGATCTTGGCTCACTGCAACCTCTGCCTCCAGGGTTCAAGCGATTCTTCTGCCTCAGTCTCCCGAGTAGCTGGGACTACAGTCATGTGCCACCACGCCCAGCTAATTTTTGTATTTTTAGTAGAGGCAGGGTTTCACCATATTGGCCAGGATGGTCTCGATCTCTTGACTTTGTGATCCATTCGCCTCCGCCTCCCAAAGTGCTGGGATTACAGGCGTGAGCCACGGCATCTGGCCATTGTACCTAATTTTAACCTGTGACCATCAGCCATGTGCAGCAATAGAGATTTGGAGATATTTGCACATGAACATAGATGCAGCCGATTAGAAAAGGTATTAAAAGAGGTGTGACATCCTTCTGGCCTTGTGTGTGTGTGAGTGTGTGTGTGTGTGTCTGTGTGTGTGTGTGGTCGGGGCACAGGGACAATGTGAAGATGGCAGCAGCAACCTGAAGGGATAACTTAAAGGGAAAACTTAACTTCAAAATAAAAGGAATAGTATATGTCAAGAAATGGTAAAAAAAAAAATTTCTTAAGCTGTGACAAACTCTTAGGATTCATGTTATACTGACTTTTATGCAGCTTTTAGCTGTCTTTATCATAAGTACTACTGGCTCCAAAACATAATATAAAAACATGTCCTTTTCATAATCTCTTGGGTCTGTTAAATTTACCTAGATATTTCCAGATAATATAATTTTCTGAAAAAGGAGCAATGTGTAAATTTTTATATATTAAAGTGAACTCAACTATAATATAATGGTGTCCAATGGAGACACATGTCACATCACCCAAGTCTTAGCTGATACTTGAGTATCTTAATCTCTTCACAGGTAATAAAAGCTTTTGCCCAGATAACCAACTGTGTGATTGGGGGAATTAAAATCCTCCTATATGGAAGAATGGCAGATTCTTTTCAGGGAATTTATGAAATTTACAACTGTAAACATAAGATCATCACCTTAAGCAAGGAAGAAAGAATAGTAGCTTCCCAGTAGATCTGGTGTACCCATATATTAGAGTATTTATTTGGCCTTTGGATTCCTAATTGTGTGTGCAAGACTGGGCAAACTTGATGAGAGTTTAGGGAAAAGCAATGAAAATGATTAAGGGGCTGTTTGCATTGATTTATGAAGACACGTTAAATGAATTCAATATGAATAACTTCCCTAAGTGACGACCAGGGAAAGCCATAATAAATGTCTACAAATATCTGTTGGGTGTGAACACTGAAAAGGGAGATGGATGAGGGTACAGGAGAAGATGATAAGGAATAATGAGATGGAATTGGCAGAGTTTATAAGAAAAAAAAAGTGTATTCATTTTACGCCTCTCAGAAGTGTCCATTAATGAAGAGGCTTGATGCCGTGATGAGCAGCACTCAGACTACAGAGCCAAGGCTGAGGAAGGCTATTGTAAAAATGCGTGTGGGTGAGCCAGGGCACTGGCAAGGGCTCTGGGGAGTGGAGCTGGGGTTATAATGCTCAAAGCATGGCCATATTTGGGTCCATATTTCCTTATGGCTTGTGTAGAGAAACACGTAGAGGCTCAGAACTCCTCGTCCTGGACTCCATGCCGACTTTGCTGTTTCTTCATTGTTTTGCCTGTGCCTATGCCTGCACTCATTTAATGAAATACTGAGGCCTGTTCTGCTAAATTAGCAGCTTTGGTGCAAAGGGTAATCTTTTTAAATCATTTTCACTCCTCCCACCCAAGGGCATAAAGACATGATATTAAAACGTCTATGTATTTTTAAGCTCCATTTCCTCTTCCTCCCTCCTTTCCTCTCTGATGTCTCTGTAGGCATAAAGAGAAACTGGGGAAGAAGGGAGGGCATTGTCCCATGGTCCTGCTCAGTCATCACTACATAAGACTTTTCTTTTCAAAAATGGGAAGTGATATGGCTAATCATTAATGAACTCAGCTGAGACAAATGACAATTAAGTTTAATAAAGCCTTAACAATTAGCATTTTAACCATTATTTCATGGGAAGGGAAACATTAGATTAGTTATGCTTGTAGGAAGTAATCAGCTAAGAATTACTCATTTTTAAATAATTATAATTACCCTGTTCATTTCTATTGGGCCTTTTAGCTGAGAATCTCAGCCTGTGTTCGTATCACAGCTTTAAAAAGGATAAATGCTACTGAAAGTGTAATCTTTAAAGTGCAGCTGGGAATTCATTTTTAAAATGAAAGAACAATAATTTTTAAAGCAGCCATATTGGTGTCTATTTAAATATGTATAGCTTATGGAGAAAAAGAGTGATGGCTTACATATCAATCAAGTAAATATTTTGAGTGAGAAAATGTTATAGATTTTCAGTGAGGTCATAATAATTTTTTGTTCAGATTTTGCTGTCAGTTACGAGCACTTGAAGGAAAGTTTGAGTAAGAAAGTAGCTAAAAAATATCATTTACCAAATGGCTCATATAAGCCATGATTAAAATGGAATTCCCTAGCTAGTGACATAATAATATCATGTTGGAGTTATTAAATTTTGAATTTTTTTATATTTACCATTTTTATTTTTAGCATTATGTTTCCATCCTTCTGTCCTGCCAGTGGGATAGCAGGATGCATAGTGGTCAAAATCTTCATTTAAAAATTAACTTTAATATCTTAAGAATGTTTTCAAATAAGTTACAAGAAGAGATTATAAGTGGAATACATATATTTTTTCAAAGATAAAAGGTATATCAGAATTTGTTGTGAAACAGGAAAACATGGGAAATCATCTTTATGGAATTAATCCCAGAACAAAACCTTTAGGAAATTTAGAGGCAAATGGATTCTAACATCTATAACCTGACACAAAAGTACAACATGTTTAGCCACTTTGCCGTATATCTGAAATTTATATTCAGTGATAACCATAATGTTTAAAACTATTGAATACAGATTGCTCTGAAACCCATATGACACAAATTTTGACCTTTCAAATCAGGAAAAATTTTTCTTGCAAGCCAGAATTCTAATTGCATTTAAAACTTGTAGAATAACATGTGCTTATGCAAAAACTGCCCTTTAATTTCCCATGACAATGGAATTAAAATGTATGACTTACATGTAAATTGAACCACATCTACCTTGTAGTGATGTAATATCCTGTTCTGAGCTTTTGAGCTTTAATTCAATATCTAGTTATGTTAAGGCCTCCTGTGTGAGTCTCTCTGAGTATGTACATGTGTAGGTGTGTAAGGTTAGTGAAAGAAAAGGGAATCTTGCTTTTATGATAATGGAAATCAAGAATTAGTTTTCTAATGCCTTGAAAATTACAATTCTAAAACTTCTGAGCCCTTATCATTGCCCTTTACAAGCTGGATGATCCCTGGTTTGATACTTTGGATTATAAGATGTTATCAACATAAACAAAATCTTTATGGTAATATTTTAGTGAAAGTATAGTGACCATTCAAGGAAACGATGTTGACTGCCAAAGATGACCTGCTAAAAATGCATAGCTTTGTTTTCTAGAAGTCCCTGTATTTCTACTATTCTGACCTTTTCTTCTCTGTTCTCTTCTTTTATATAACATTTGCCAAAATTCAAAGCACTTACTATTCATGAATGTGCGTATTGAAACATTTTCAGTTTACTGAAAGATTAGCACATGGGCCATTGCCTTTCAAGTTTTATTAATAGTGAATAACCTTTTCGGTCTTACTTTTTTCTTTTTATACTATTAACTTTGCAAGTCCCCCTTTGGAAGGAAGAAGAAAAGGATATGAATTGTACGTTCTGTAAAACATGGATCATAAATAAGCATAAGCATTTGTCGCAATTTTATCATCAAGAAAAATTTCCTGGACTAAGATATTTCAGCGTGAGTCAGAGAACCTCCTTAGTGTCTCAGCTTCTACCCTCACATGAGGCATAGGATTTGCTTGTGGCATTTCGAGACTTATTTAATATGCATTTTCAGAGTGATGTCTACCTCCTACAAAATGTTCATGAAACAGAAAAGTCACTCATGGGGCTCAGAAGTGTGAGGTATTGTATTCATCATGTGAAGGTTGTAAAGGCAGGTCTCTTCATTCAAAGAAGTGACTGTAACAGGAGAGAGGGTAGGGACAGCCTGTGTGCAGGCATCAGGTGCCATATCAGGTGCTGGAGGAAGGAATCACCCGCAGTGGCTAAGCAGAGGATGCCCAATGCCAGTGATAACGCAGCTTTACAGGAAGATCACAGAGCAGTCAATGCCTGGCCAAGGTGCTTTGTTTATCTTCCTCTGTAGTAAATGTGATAAGAATTATATAAGCTTACAGACAATTCACTTCTTGCTGTAGGTCAGATTATCCTGAGAAACAAGAGATTGGAGAATGGCAGAAGGGTAACCCATTGGGATATTTCTAATGAAAATGAGGTAAATGGGTGCTCTCTTGGTTTATCTTTTTGATTTGCCTTGGAAATTCCATTTTGTTTTTGTAAGAATCCTCAGCTCATTCTTAGATTTCTGAAAGCATCAGGATCAGAATCCTGAGCCCCACAGAGTGGCAGAAGAATTACCTCAAGCCAAATGCCAGAATGCTCTTAGAGCTTCTGTGCAATGTGTTCTCTTTGTCAAGTGCAGATAAAACCATGCATTGTCCTGTAAATAAAGGCAGCCAAGGCCAAGTTACCAATGACATGTTTCTGTGAAAGAAGCTGCAGCAATGAAGGTTGTGGCTTTGATCCTTGAGTCCTAATGGCCTCAGCACCACTTACTTCCAGATAGTTGACCATCTGGTCACTGCCTCAGATAAAGGAGATCATATAGGGACTAAAAGCAAGACATGTATAAAAGATGCAAGGCACTTACTACCTTTGCTGGTGTAATAAGAAAATAACTGTGGAACAAAAAGGCTATTTTCTTGGATAAAAGCTATTTTGTTTCCAAAGCTCTGGTGACCATATGGAGTCTTTTTCATCATTGTTGTCCACTCCCAAGCCATCGTCCTTCATTTCCAAAGACCTTTCCATTCTCTCCATGTTTTTTTCCCTAATTGCCATTTTCAGATTAGTTTTTACTCCCCAAACAATATTTCAACAATAACACATGTTTCGTCTTCTCTGTTCACTTCTGCAATAATAGCTCTTTGGACCCTGAATACAACACAAGAACTACAACTCCATGTGTCAGGGAAATAAAAAGGCATTCTCTAAAAGAACTGAGCCCTGGAGAGACGAGGTTGGCATTCTAGGCCAGAAAGAAAAACCAAAGATTTTCTTCTGTCCCTCTGTTGGCCTGTTGACACTCAGAGGCCATTTAGACTGCTTTCTTGTGGAAAGGAGAAAGCTCTTTCTCTTGGAATCAGTCCTGATCCCTTTATGTCAATTCAGACAGAAATTCTAAGCAAACAGATATTTGTGTTTGTGTGTGTGTGTCTGTGTGTGTGTTTGTGTGTGTGTCTGTGTGTGTGTTTGTGCGTGTGTGTCTGTGTGTGTTTGTCTGTGTGTGTGTCTGTGTCTGTGTGTGTGTTTGTGTGTTTGTAATAGGTAAAATATTTGGCTTTCCCATTGTAATACAGAGTAAAAAGAACAGAAATGAGAAATATCAAAAGACCATAAGAATAAAGTGTGAATGACAATGTTGAGAATGATAGCAAATGTATATTACTGAAATATAATGTCTCATTTAAGGCTCCCCCAGCTTTGTGAGTGAGGGTTAGAATCCACGATGGGGACTACACTCATAAACAGCTGATATTTACCATATGTACATTGTTGTAAGAGACAAGCTCAATGACTATAGTGTGAGAGGCTCTCGCTGAGAGATCTGGCAGGGAAAATAATATTGGTGATTTATACATGAAGGAACCGTGGCTGCAAGAGGTTTCATAATTTGGTAGCAATTTTAGAAATTCAAAGTCGTTTACAGTGTAGTCTTTTTACTCTTCCTTTTCCTCCTTGTCCTTTGGTAAATATTTACAAATTCCCAAGTCTTATTGAAACACTAAGCTGCACATTTTAGACAGCCCAAAACAAATTGCGTGTGTATGTGTGTGCGGTGCACCTATGTACACATATGTTACGAATCCTAACTAGAAACAGAGTGGAAACAAAGATCATGTCCAACTAAGTTTTAGGGAATGTTCCAAAAAGGCAATGGTACTGAGCAGAACCTGAGGGATGGGTAGATTCCTCCACTTATTCATTCAACAAAACTTTTTGATGGCCTGCTCTGTGCCCAGCATTTCATTTGTCTCTGCACCTAAGCCGGGCACAGTTCCTGGCACCAGGGTGCATAGGTTCAAGCCCAGCGTAGTGCCTTGCAGATTGGAATTGTTTAGTTAATTCATAATAGGAAGCACACCTGCATGTTTGTACACCAGGCGTATGTCCCATGTCCTGTGTCAGGTGCTCTGGGAAATTAAGACGTGTGCATGGAGGTTAAAGTGGAGTACTTTTGAGACCGACATCAGTGAGGGTTGAGAAAGCAGTATTGCACAGAAGGAGAACTGGACAATCATATAAACACAACAAAAGACTCTGCTCATTCCGCAGAAGTTCTGAAAAAGAAATGGTTCCTTGGAACTGTTCCAAACTGAGGCAAGGGGCTTAGGCCTTAATACTCCATATTGACCAGACTTTGCATGTGAGCTGCAGTCAAAAAAGAGGCATGACCTTTAACAAGCAAAAGAACCTTCCAGAGAGGGACTACCCTCCTCTGTCAGGGTGGCTCCATCTGGAAATGGTACCAGCGAAGCAGTGGTGAACTTTATGGGAGTCTGGTCCACTCACTATTGAAGCTTACATGTGTGCCTGGCAATGCTCTTGTTGAGTCCCAGAGGCCCTGCATCTATCCTACAATAGATTGCTGCTGGGCTGACCCTATGATGTAGTAGGTCCAACAGAACCCGTCTCATGCAGGATAACCCTAGCCACACCTGATGTCCTCCTCTTAGGTGCTCTGTGTGTCCCAGGACCCAGTAGAGCTCTAGGAGCTATTTTTCAAGTGGTATATAATTCCTCACTTCAGATGGCATGGACTTGTTTCAGGACTTTGGCGTACACACTGAGCATCTCCTTTCAAGGCTTCTCATAAATGCCAGTGAGTATCTTTCCACCAGCAAGACCTCTGTGGTTATAGGTTTTCTGGGTTATAAGCAGCAGGACCACTTGCAATGCAGCCCCCACTTTGCATGTTCTGGGTCTCACTTGAAATGGGCTTTCACATCACCCCATATACATTTGGAATAGTGTTTCCTCACATAAAACATCTGCATCTGTAACTTAAAGAAATTTACCAGGTGTTACGTTTTCTTATAGGTGGAAGCTATCAGATGATTTTTTCTTCACTTTAAAGAGGAAGGTTCTACATATTTTAGTTTTATGGACCTATAAATCTTCACTGATGTGGCAAGCCACTGAATATTCACAGGGTTTTTCCCCCATCCTCTGAAATATAAACAGCTTACTACATCTTCAAAGGTACCTGTCAGTTGTGTATCATCTGGGCTGATTAATATGGAATAATGAATATGGTGGACCAATGTTACGTTCTGCAGAATGTCCATAAAGTCCAGAGGCCTTAACGCAAAGATTGGGAAATTGTGGGGAAAATACTTCTTGTCTCTCCCAAGAGCATGTAAACTGCTTCTGGGAAAGAGTGCAGCCATTGGATTAATGATGGCTTACCACGGATAGAGGCTGCTCCAACAAAGATAACACATGGGGCACAGCAGTGGTGATTAGAGCTTTTTTTTTTCCTGGCTGTTTTGAGGGGTTCTACAGCTGAGTTAAATGTAAATATCATGGGGCCACCATCCTTTAGGATTTGGGTGGAAAATGTTCTTGGTTACTTTGAAATATAAGATTCCCCTGGGCTCCCTCAGCCCTCACAAAAGTCCTTCTTGCCCTTGTGAGGAGACAACAGCCTCACTGTGCCTAGAGATTGTGTGCTTGTCTCCCCTGAGAGGGATGCTCCACAAGTTGCCCTCCTCCATATCTGCCGCCACTGCCCCAATACCATGCAGAACAATATTAAAATCATTTTCCAGAATGGGCCAGGTGAGGAATAATGTATCTGGCTCAGGAGAAAGGGGATCATTCTCCAAAGCTTTCCATGAGCAGCTCATATACACTGACAGAATGTGTTCTGAAAGTATCAGATCAAGGTTTGGATTAGGCTGAATGTAAGACAAGAAGAAAGAGCTAATGGATGTGAGGGAAATTATTCTATGATTCATGATTCGATGACTGTCCCAGATACCTGGTCCTATCTATTTGAGTGTTGTTCTGTCTCCTGGAATTTGGCAGAGAGCTATTGAGATGGGGATGCTAGAATTGCTTTGATGGCATTGAGAAAGGAGTCCGATATCTTAGGTAGATAGACATACTAGTTAGGACTTTTTACCTAAAGTCAGAGAAGTCATCTGCTGACCCTATGCCCTGGGGAGATTCAGGGGACATTCCAGCCATGAAATCAAGAGAGGATGCTGGGCTCATGCCAGCTTTGTTAATCAGCTTGGTGTTAGCTGTGCTTTGTGGACCTGTGACAGCAGAATGTGGTGCGATGGGACTGAGCCCCCTAACATCAATGAGAATGACAAGTGACAGACACAAATTGGCAGCACAGGCAACAGCAAGACAACCAGGAGACCTCTGGCCAAGCCTGATGGAAAAGGGGCCATGGTTGTGAGACTGACGGGCAGCCAATTAGGGTCTTGCCCAACACCTGTAGAAAATCACCAAGAGTAGGTGAGTTAAAGGCTTACATCAGTTAACTCAAAGCAAAATAATGATCTGCAGCCCATTTCCAGACCTGACTCATTTCTCAGCTTCAAATTCTATCAGTTTAAGGTGGGTTTGATCTCTTCAAGAAAGACCTGACAATGGCCCAGTATTGAGTATGCTCAATAGTGATACCCACCACTCATTCCTCACCAAGGCATCTATAGCCATCTACTGGAGTGAGTTGGTCCTGGGGAAGGAGATAGACAGATCTCACAAGGGCTGCCCCATACAGAGTCAGCTGAAGCAGGAAACCTCAAATACCAGAGAACCCCAAATTCCAACATGGCTCTCCTCTTAGAGATGGGTATCTCAAGACCATGTCATGACTGTGGTCCTATTTTGTGTCCACCGTGTCCTGGGTACAGCCATCTCCAGACCCACTGTGAGCGATCTCTCTGGTCTCTGAGTATATCATTGGGATGAATACACTTAGCAGCTGAAAGATCCCTCACATTTGTTCCATGATGTATAGAGTATGAGCAATTGTCAAAGAAATGGCCAAGTGGAAACCCTTGAAACTGCCCTCTCCCCACCAAGATGGTGAATCAGAAACAGTACATCATCCCAATGGAAAGGACAGAAATTCGTGCCACCCCCAAAGACATAAGCATACAGGCGTGGTGGTCCTCGCTGGTTTCCCCTGTGAGCCATCTCTCTGGCCCGTGCATGATGTAGATGGACAGTGGCAGATGTTGGGGAACGCCATGAACCTGCAAGTGGTTCCCCATTTGCAGCGCTGTGCCTGATGTGACATCCTTGCTTGACACATCCAGAACCTCCATTGACCTTGGTATCTGGCAAACAGTTTCTTTTCATTCCCTATCTGCAGGAAACATTGCTCATTCATTCCAAAGGTACAGCAGTGTGCATTCTATCTCCACATTTATACTACCTCTCCTGCTGTCTGTCACAATAAAGGATGAATGGGACAGAATTGTTTGAAAAGTCTGCAGAAAGTTGCAATGGTTCATAAAAATGATGGCATCAAGTTAATCAGACCTGGGAGAAAAGTGGCAAGGATTCTGGAACTTGTCATAAGATAAGTGTGTAGCAGATGGTGAGAAATAAATTCTACTTAAGATTGAGGAATCCCAGGTGTCGGTAACTATTTTAGGAGTCAGTGATTGGGAGTATGGTGAGACATCCCATTCAAGATAAAGAACACTTTGTACCTGCATCACAAAGAAAAAAGCAGACTTCTTTTGGTGGACCTCTGTGATTTTGGAGTCAGAAGCTAGAAAATACTGCTCGAATCCATTTATCAGGTGCCTTGGAAAGCTGCCTTTTTTTTTCTTTTTCTTTTTTGAGACAGGGTCTTACCCTGTCACCTAGGTGAGAGTCCAGTGGCGTGATCATGGGTCACTGCAGCCTCGACCTCTTGGGCTCAAGCGATCCTCCTGCCCCAGCTTACCAAGTAGCTGGGACTACAGGCGCACACCACCACACTCAACTAACTTTTCTTTTCTTTTTTGAAAAGAAAAGTCTCACTATGTTGTCCAGGCTGGTCTTGAACTCCTGAGCTCAAGTAATCTCCCTAACTCAGCCTCCCAAAATGATGGGATTACAGGCGTGAGCCACTCTGTCGGCACCAGGCTGCCTTTCTTTTTTTTTTCTTTTAACAAGGCCCTAGAACAAAAGATAACTCTCCATGTTCAACATGGAGTCAAAGTGACCCTTTAACCTGGGCTATGTGAAACAGCAGTTCCCATTGAGCTGGAGGTATCCCTAGTCCATTCCGTAAGAATGGTGTGTAGACATTTGCTAAGCCTCACTCAGAGGGTTGCAGCACAGGATCCAGAGTCCTGCAGCCTGCTTACCATCCGCAGCAGAGACCCTGCAATTTCTGGGTATAGCGGTGGAAGTGATACCAGCAGCAACTGTCAGCATCCTACCCTGGAGTATCGGGGTAAAGGCTGCAGCCCCTGATGGCAGCAACAGTGGCAGCTGTGGCCTCACTGAGCTGTGCTGCAGCATGTCTGTCTGTGTTTCTGGCTGTGTGGATTCCTAGACATGGTTCTTGAACTCTCCTAAATATTCTATGGACTCTTCAATATTTGTACAAATTCTGTTACAGCTTAGGTCATCAGAGTCGGTTGCTTGTTACAAAGAATAGAAACATTGAGCACTGGTAATGATTATCCCTTCCCAGCTGCTGGGAGAGCTCCCAAGAGGGCAGAAATAGAGTTGCCTCAAGACTGGGTCAAAGTTTGCTGTGTGTGCAGCAGAGATTTGGATTAAAGAGGGTAGGGGGCATAGCAAATACAAAATCATACAATTCAAGATTTTCAGGGTTTTGTGGACTCTTTGAATCAGATTGTTTAATGCCTTCATTTTTCACATGAAAAATGAATCTCCCAGAGATGTTAACCCTTTGCTGATATTCCCATGAATGCTCAGTGTCTAAGTATAAGACCCATATCTCCTTTTCTCCATGCAAGAGCATTCTGCCCTCTAGCCTCCCGGCTCCTGAGCTGTTTTTTGTTTGTTTGTTTGTTTGTTTTTTACCTCTGTAAACACACAAATGGAGGGGGCTTTTCCCTTGTTAGCTTTATTAATCTTAGGGGACCCTGTTGAATATTATCCAAATGAATGTCATTCCCCTTATGTCTCAAAGATAATGGTTTTGCTTGCTTCTCAGTGGTTATCAGACTCTTTATAGACTACTTGTACAATATGATGAAGGACTTCTAACATTTTGCAGTAATGATGACTGGGTCAAGGATATATCAAGAAGTTAATCAGAAAAGTTTATTAATTAGCATATTTCCAATGGCACGATTGCAACTGATCCATAACATGGCACATAAAGGGTATATGAAGTTTAAAAATCAATGATCAATCAACAGCCTTGTTTTTTCTGGATCAATTGCATTGAAGTTTTACTAAAGGAACCTTAGATTATTAATAATCACTCCAATAGTCCTAAGTACAAGCTAACCAAAATATGTCATATGTACTTAGGAAAAAGCAGCTAGAATCTCCCTATGAAATTTTATAAATTTATTTCAAAGCATAAATCTTTCTGATCAAATTGAAATAGCTATATTGTTTAATTTTAGTTTTAAATAGCAACAGCAATTAGTCCACTAAAGGAACTAATTGCTTGGAAATTTTCATATTTAAACACAAAGCCATTTCTAAATGACACTATTGAATATCATTTTAAAGTCTAAGGAAACAATGATCTTTCAAGGTAAAGCAGTAAAGCAAAGGTTTCAAACACTTCAAGGAAAGAATAAAAGTAGTTGTTTTTGCTTTATTTTTATAAATAAAACTGCATTACAAAAAGTGTGATTATGATCAATGCCTATTTTCAGCAACACATTTCTTATGAACAACCACAGAATTCTAGACACATATGATAATTCAAAACACATTTGAAATGATGGGGCATTTTTCATGCAATCTACTCCTAAAGATTATGATTATTTTCAGAGCTGCAGAATTATAAAATAGACTTTTTTTTCATTCAAACTCACTCCACAACCACCATTCCATCTTTTGAAAAAAATCTCAGGTTAAACACAAAACTAGAATGGATGAGCATCCACATACTCACTTCTGTTGGATTGCTGAAGTTTCCGAATTGTGAGCATTGCAATTGTCCTTTTGGGTGAAAAGTTGTTCGTAGAAGGCCATTCCCTTCCCTTAATCAGATTTTAGAGTTTATGACCAAGAACTTTGGAGCCAGCCAGACTGGGTCAGATGTAACTGTAATGCTAATTAACTATGTGACCTTACATAAATTACCATACTCCTTTAAGTATCAGGGTCCTCAGCCATACAAATGATATAACAGTATAATCCATTATTCAATATATTCAATATAAACATATTCAATATGCTTATCTTGTTTAATCCTGACAATAATGATATTATAGTCAGGATTAAATAAGATAAGCATAGAAAGTAATTACTCAATAAAAGGGTGCTTAGTGTTTGTATTAATATTTTATCATGAGTAAAATAACCATACATTATAAAAATTAGATAGAGGAAAGTAATTTTATGAACCTCTAGTCCATGAATCATGGTAAAATAAAGTAACAAGTACAAGAAACTGCTAACAAGAGATAGTTAGAATGAGGCTATAGGGTAAGCAAGCCTAATTTGCTCATTAACTTCCTAACAATGCATGGTGTCTAGGCAGAGGTAAAGAGTCTTAGGAGGAAAACTTGGCAAAAGAGAACCTTGATCTACTCCACTACTTTGTCAAAGACTACTTAGAGTTGTTTACAGTAGCTAGTTTTTAAAATTTGGTGATGTCAGGCAGATTCAATAAAAATTGCATTACTTAATGTATAACATGCTTTGTTACAGATTTTGAACTTACTCTGAAATTAGTCTGAAAATATAGAACTGAGCCAATGCTATGCAACCTGCAAATTAAAATATTGAATGACTTGGTATTTGGAATATCCTTAAAAGCAATTAATTCTTTACAAATTATATTTTCAAAAATACATTGAAAATCAAAGCTATTTCAATGTATTTTAGGGTTAGAAAAATTAGACATAGACATGCACAGGCAAAAAAAAATTATAGACACAGACCTTATACCTTTCACAAAAAAATAAAAATGGATTGTAGATCTAAATGTAAAAAATGCAAAATTTTAATCAAACAGGAGAAAATCTAGGCAACTTTTGATTTGGTGAAAACTTTTTGGATACAGCAACAAAAGGAAGAACCATGAGACAATAATTGTCAAGTCAGACGATATTAAAAGTAAAAATTTCTGCTCTGTGAAGACATTGTTAAGAGATTGAAAAGATAAGCCGCATGGTGAGAGAAGAATTCTTGGAAAACACATATCTGATAAAGGATTAGTATTCAAAACATGCAAATAGCTCAACAATAAGAAAACAAGAAACCCAATTAGTAATAGGCGAAAGACACCACCCCAAAGAAGATACACAACAGCAACTAACCATAGGAAAAGATGTTGGACTTCATATGTTAGTGGGTAGGTATAAATTAAAAGTACCATGAGAGTCCACTATACACTTACTAGATTGGCCAAAATCCACAGTACAGACACCACCAAATGCTGATGAGGATGTGAAGCAACAGGAACTCTCATTCATTGCTGGTGGGAATACAAAATGTTATAGCCACTTTTGAAGACAGTTTGGCAGTTTCTCACAAGGCTAATCACAGGCTTACCATAAAGCCCAGCAATCATGCTCCTGAGTATTTTTCCAAATAAGTTGATACAACTTGTGTACAAACATAACCTGCACAAGAAGAGTTTAAAGAACTTTATTCATAATTAACAAAAACCAGAAGAAACCGAGATGACCTTAAATAGATAAATGATAAACAAACATTGGTACAGGCAGACACTGGAATATTATTCAGCGCTGGAAGAAATGACCTACATAGCCATGAAAAGACAGGGAGGAACCTTAAATGCATATGACTAAGTGAGAGAAGCCAGTATTCAAAAGCTAGAGACTGTATGAACCAACTCTACGATATTCTGGAAAAGACACATCTACGGAGACAGTAAAAAGATCAGTGGCTGCCACGGGTTAGGGGAAGGCAGGGAGGAAGTTGTAGAGCACTGAGGATTCTTAGGGCAGTGGAACGATTCTGTAGAACACTGTAATGGTGGATTCATTGCAGGATGCAAAGAATGTATAGCAAAAATAAAGTGAACCTTAATATAAGCTGTGTGCTTCAGTTAATAATAATGTACCAATATTGCCCCCTCGGGTGTAACATATGTACCAGATGAATGCAAGATTTTAATGAAAGAGAAACTTGAAAAAGTGGAAAGGATAGGAACTCTACTTTCTGTGAAATTTTTCTATAAACCTAAGACTACCATAAAGAAAGAAGTCTATTTTTTGAAAAAATAGTATGTTTCTATAGAAGTCAAGGCAGTTATGTAATTGTATGCATATATTCAATATGTTATACATGTGATTAACATTGCCTTGATAACTACATACCAATAATTTAAATTTTAAAAAATTAAATTAAAGTTATTTAATTATTCTGTATTTATTATCTTTATAAAATTTGAACATGCATAAGGATAACAATTGCATAAATTACATGAAATAATGCAGTCCAATTTTCTTTCATTTGTTCCTATTGGATTTGAAAATTATATTTAGTAAGTCACATTTTTAGTATATAAGGAGATTTATGAAAATGACTTTGATTTTTAAAATGGTATTTAGTCAACCAGAAATGCTGAGGAACGGCATTCTTAGTTGAAATCAGCTTTTTAGAATACTAAAAAAGGATTTAATTCATTTTAGTTTTATATGGTTTTCTTAGTGCTTTTTTAGTATTGTGTAGTACATAATTTTTGATTATTTTTACATTAGGTAGGGACCTAACAGGAAAAATGATTGTTTTATTTCTAAATTGAAACAGAAATAATTTAGAGCTTCTCAGTTCAAAAGTGCTTTCAGGTATGTTTAGCAAATCAATTGTAAGTCTGAACTCTTTCGTGCTACTTCCTGATAAAAACAAGCACTAGTCACATGAACTGTGTGCAATGATGTGCACATAGGACTAACTGGGAATTTTGTTAAAATATAGATTTTGATTTGGTGGGTCTGGGGAGAAGTTTAAGGTTCTGGATTTCTAATAATCTCCCAGGTTATTCTGATGCTGTTGTTCTGCAGACCACACATTAAGAAGCAAAGTGTTGCCTCAAACTTGTTACCATATGGAGAGAAAATAGGAGAAACATGTGAGCCATTTCTGAATATGTGACTTACATGCTTATTTATCTGTCTAGACATTTGTATTACTTCTCCCATTAAAAGGAAAGACCCAGATAACAATAATCATCTCTCCATCCTTCCACCCATCATCTATCCATCCTTCCATCCATCTATTCATCCATCCATCCTTCTATCCATAATCCATCCATCCTTCCATCCATCACCTATCCATGTGTCCATCCATCCATCCATCCCTTCCTCCATCCATCCAAGAAATACCTATAGAGTCTTTTCCATGTATAAAAGACAATCAGAAGCCCAGGAGTACTAAACCATAGAGTCTAATAGGTGAAAATATAACAAAACTTCTAAATAAAGACATAAAAAATAATCTTAGAAAATGATGATTGCTGTGAAGAAAATATATCAAGAGAAAGCAATGGAGAGTGATAAAGACAGTGTACAAACTGCCTGGGCTCCTGTCTCCAGGACAGGATTTGAATCTGCGTAAACATGGGCAGGTGACTTTGTGGGCCAGAGCCTCACATTCTTCCTCTTAAACCCTCTCCTTTAAAATGCAGGTATGATTGAATGAAGTAATTCCTGGAAGGACCTAACAATATGCCTCACATGTTGAAAGAACTCAGTAATTGTTAGTTATTATGATTTTCTGAGGAGCTGGCTTTGGAAACCATATCTGGTTGCAGTGATGCAGAGGAAGTCATCCCAAGCAGAGATAAGAATTTATGAAAATGTAAAAACTTCTAATATGCCCAGCGACTAGAGAACAGGGAACAAATAAGCAATGCAGTGTTTCAGGAATTTGGGATGAGTGTAGCTGGAAATGGGATTTTAAAGGTAGGTAAGATGTTAGAGATGGATGCTGAAGGAAAAGTATGCTTCGTACTAAAGAGTTTGGCTATTAGCTTGACCTATAGGCCAATGGCTGTCAAACTGCAGTGTGCACAATAATGCAGACACCTCTCCCTCATCCAGCTTCTCACACAATCATTTTCATTTTAACAAGATGTTGAAGCATATATTTCATTGGACAAGAGGAAACCAGCAGGGTTCTGAAAGCAGTGAAATATGTGAATGATGACAGACCAAATGCAATGGTGCTGATGTAATTACGAGCTATAAGAGCAATCCAGAAATTTATTTTAAATAGAGAACAAACAAAAATTAACTAGTTGGCCTGGGGGAGGATAGCAGAAAGATATTTTGAGCAGACTAGACCAAATTATAATATCAATTTTTAATAAATTATGCATTTATAAGTAAAGTTAATGACGGGGCAATAGTTAAAACTAGCCAAGAGTTCAAACAGAAATTGCCTGGCTGCACGAAGAACTTCTGGAGATTTAATTACTGGGGTATGTAGTCATGTGAAGAAAACTGGACAGAGGCACAGAGTGTCCGGGAACTCTTTGTCTTCATCTCAGAAACACCAGAATTGGCCTTGCAATTTTGAAAAATCGATTTCTACTGATTTTCAGCAAACCAATTTACCAGAGATCTTTTCACCTCCTCTGAAACAGAATATAACACAGATTTTCACTTTGGAAAAACAAATTGTCTTTGGAGAACACATGGATGAAAGAATTCTACCTTGAGACTAGGAATCACCATCTTCTCTATATGTCAAACTTATGAGACATCAATGGATAAATAAGACACAGGGCACATGGAAACATTTAATAAAGATTCCGGGTTAGGGGTAAAGAGGCTATTGAATGGGATGCCTGAGCAGAAGGACTTCCACCATCCCTGAAGCTGAACCCACTGTCTGCTTTACCAAGAATTGCCACCATTTGAAGTTCTACAATGAAGAACACGTGTGAGCATGTGTCTCTCTATGTGCATGTGCAGTGCTCTGATTATAAATATATTTAAATCAGGCTAGGTGCTGTCACTCATGCCTGTAATCTCAGAACTTTGGGAGGCCGAGCTGGGTGGATCACCTGAGGTCATAAGTTCAAGACCAGCCTGGCCAAAATGACAAAACCCCATCTCTAATAAAAATACAAAAACTAGCCAGGCACGGCCTGTAATTCCAGCTACTCAGGAGGCTGAGGCAGGAGAATAGCTTGAACCCTGGAGGCAGAGGTTGCAGTGAGCTGAGATCATGCCACTGCATTCCAACCTGGGTGACAAGAGCAAAACTCTGTCTTTCTCTCTCTCTCTCTCATATATATATATTATATCATCACATAATATATATAATATATATCATATAATATATATATATTATATATCATATAATATATATATTATATATATCATATAATACATATATATTATATATATCATATAATATATATATTATATATATCATATAATGTATATATTATATATATCATATAATGTATATATTATATATATCATATAATGTATATATTATATATCATATTATATATATTATATATATCATATTATATATATATTATATATCATATTATATATATATTATATATATCATATTATATATATATTATATATATCATATTATATATATATTATATATATATATAAAACTGCTTTGCTCACCAATATTTCAGTCATGACCTTACATTGATAAAAATAGCATTTCCCATGTCCCATTTTGATAGTGGATACTGGCATTACTGTCTTTGCTTTTTTAGGAAGATAATTCTGACACCGAGGGGGCAGTTGGACTGGAAGGTCAAGATCAGTTGTATTCTAATAAAAGAAAAAAGAAAAGTCCTAATTTGTAGTGTTTGTAGATTTCATACTGTGAATACTCCAGCTATGGTCAGTGTCTTTCTTTTTTTAAATTTTTAATTTTTGTGGGTACATAGTAGGATATTTACAGAGTACATAACATGTTTTCATACAGGCATGCAATGTGAAATAAGCACATCATGAAGCATGGAGTATCCACCCCTACAAGCATTCATCCATTGAGTTGCAAATAATCCAGTAACCATCCTTCTACTCTCTATGTCCATGAGTTCAATTATTTGGATGTTTAGCTCCCACAAATAAGTGAGAACATGTGATGTTCATCCTTCTCTGCTGCAGTTATGTCACTTAACATAATGATCTCCAGTTCTACCCATGTTGTTGCAAATGACTCAATCTCATTCTTTTTTATGGCTGAATGGTACTCCATTGTGCATATGTACCACATTTTCTTTTTTTTAGCTTTTTTTTTAGCTTTTTTTGTTTTTTTCGAAATGAAGTTTCATTCTTGTTGCCCAGGCTGGAGTGCAATGGCAGGATCTCAGCTCACTGCAACCTCTGCCTCCTGGGTTCAAGTGATTCTTCTGCCTCAGCCTCCCGAGTAGCTGGGATTACAGGCCTGCACCACCACGCCCGGCTAATTTTGTATTTTTTAGTAGACTTGGGGTTTCTCCACGTTTGTCAGGCTGGTCTTGAACTCTGGACCTCAGGTGATCTGCCTGCCTTGGCGTCCCAAAGTGCTGGGATTACAGACATGAGCCATGGCGCCTGGCCATTTTTTAACTTTTATTTTAGGCTCAGGGACACATGTGTAGGTTTGTTATATAGGTAAGCTCATGTCACAGGGAGTTGATGTACAGATTATTTCATCAGGTACTAAGCCTAGGACCCATTAGTTACTTTTTTTCTGCTCCTTTCCCTCCTCCCACCCTCTACCCTCAAGTAGGCTCCAGAGTGTGTTGTCCCTTCTTACGGTCAGTTTCAAGCTAGCACTTGTTTCACCGGCTCACAAAATTATTGAGCATTCAGCTCTGTGCTCTTGCAGGACTATCCAAGCTGGGCCCCATCCCCACTGGGAAGAGCTCTTCATCAAGAGGACAGGTAGGAAACCATGGACCAACACAAGACACTAAAGACTGGTGGCTGGAGGAGCTAATGCAATGGTGTTCAAATGCGGCAAAGCGTACGATTTGATAGACATTTTTGAGATTGAGGAAATCTGGCAACTGACAGATTTTTTTTAAAAGAGAAGTCATGGAAAAGTATCAATTTTATCACTTGAAAGGTTAACTGGATGATGGTGTCTGTGATTGCGATTCAGCAAAAAAGAGCAGACATTTGTGAAAAAGAAGAATTCAGTTACATTTCAGCACCCTAAATTGCTTAAGCACAGCTGTGGGGCTTGTCTTGGGTGAGAACACCAGGCTACGAGATGCTTTCCTATATAACCAAGGTATAGATAGGTTAACTATTCTATAGACTCATCTACCTGGGAATTTTATAAGAATTTAACAGAACACATTCAATGAAGTATGTCTGTCTTCCTACAGGTAAATTGACCCTATTCTTTATATTCTGGTTTAAAATTAAGAGTATAATTTTCCACTAACCTCCCAAAGTAGGTCTCAAAGGTGTTCCTGGGTCTTTCATCTCCCTGTTCTCAAATATTATTACTTCCTTTTATTCTGTAAGTAAAATCGTCCTGGACTTACTCTCAAGTGTAATTTTAAAAATCACTCATTTCTGCTGTGACAAGTAGCTGGGACCTGAGTACCTTCCCTAGGAATTCATTTTTTATATTTCTGCCACAGTTAACTTCTTTTAAATGTCATGATATCCATCTTTAATAAGTTGTATTATGGAGAACATGGCAAGAATGTGGCCAGAAGGATGAAGCAATTGGAAATTGAGGCACTGAGGAAGGGTTAAGACATGCAAGTTTTTGGCATGGAGAAGAGAAACCTGGAGAGGGGAACATGCGGTAGTTGTTTGTCATCAAGCACGAGGAAAGTGTCATAGGAAAGAGTCCTCAATCTGTGTGTCCCAAAAAGTAAACTCAGAAGTCACTGAGGGAGGCAATAGCAAAAATGAGTTTGGTTTTGTGCCAGGGGGACCCTCCACTGAAGCAACTCAGATGTGGATGGAGCTGCCTTGACGCTGGAGGTAGGTAGAGCACTGGAGATCACCCAAGGTGTCATTTTAAAAGGAATTCTAGCTGTTAAGAAGCGCTGGGCTGGAGGATCTTTAAAGACCTGTTAAATGGAGGATTCTACCATTCTCTGAAATGAATGTTCTCTACAAACCTATCATTCTTCCCTAGTGTTCATGTTTTTCCCAGTGACTGAGTTTTGCAAGCCAGTAACACTAAAGAAGAAACATTTATATTCTCTTTCGCAGTAGAGTTATGTTGAATAAAAGGCCTCAATGCTAACAGAGAAAATATGTGCTTTCTACTTTGGTACACACAGAGAGCTCATTAGTTCTAAATTTAGAAGTAAGCTTTAGTTTTGGAGGGACTCCAAGTTTGACTAATACATTTGACGATGTCCTTGTTAGAAAAAAAAATACCATGATGGAGAATTCTATTTTTCTAGGTTGGTATGTGTGGATGGAGAGGGAAAAACACATGCTCTTTTCTATGCGCTAATTCCATCTGTTCACAATTATTGAGTAGGTGTGCCAATTGAATGATGCTCAGTACACAGTAGGTAGGCAACGGGTGCTTTTAGTCTGACAGTATTTATAGTTCCTACTTGGCAGAGGTAAATCACTTAGCTAATTCTCAGAGCGTCTTGATTTAAACCAACTGCTCTATTTTTCTCCAGGGCAAGCTGCCTGGTAATGAGACACTGGTCAACCACAAGGCGTCATTTTGTTTCAGCAAAGTCTATTGAGCACCGATTAGGTGTAAGTAAACAAAGATAAACATAAGGAAATTAAAAAATAAGTAAGCAAAGGTAACCAAGATGCTGCATTTAAGAATCTGCTCTCAAGGAACTTGGTCTTGGCAGAAAGACACGTTTGAATAAGTAACTTAGTATCATTATCAGTGCTCAAAAAGCCTGTTATTTAGCATAATTTTTCTCTAGGAATCTTAAAAAACCACTGTATAGATAGTTCAAAATTCTCTAAACTACCTTGCTTAAAAGCATTCAATAACTTTAAATAAAGTATTTCAGTGTAGAGTAGTACTTTACCACATATTTTTCTCTCCATGAATATCAAAATAAATAAAAATAATTTGTCAGAAGCTTTATGTATTTTAAAATTAATAATAAAAATATTAAATATCAAATATATGGGTTTAATATGTTTAAAATATTAATTTTTAATTCTATCCCCCAAAATCATGACATTGTTTCCTATATGGAATTCTAAACCACAGTGATGTTCCCGTCATAATTCATTAGGCTAGCTCTCCCTCCACCGTTGACAGCAGCAGGAGGACACCAGCAGGGAGAAGTGGCAACGTGGAATGGTCAACTACACACGTATGCCTCTGGTGCCCACTCCTGCACCCTCTGATGAGGAGAAGCTGGGTGAAATAGTGGGACAGGTGATATTTAGTTACAAGCTAAATAACCACTGGCATCACCCTAGGATGTCACCATAACATGTTTTCCTCTTCCTCATCTCTCTGACTCTCTTGTTAACTTGATTGTAAAGTGGATGGACATCCCATTAGAACTCTGATTTACAAACTAATATTGACAGAAACTTTTTTCACACTGTACTAACTCAGACACACAGGCAGTTGTGTTTTAGATGCTGTTAATTTGTTAGAAAGAGAGTTGGCAATGGTGGTGACCCTGGATCACTACACTGAAACAGGAAAAGACAAAAAAAATCTAGAGATAAGTAAAAAGAATAAATATTCATGTACACTATATTTTTTCCTAAAAAAGAAAACACTTAACAGTTTGATAGGCCTACATGGAATTGACCTTCTAATATGTGGCTAATCATCATTTAATAATACTTAGAAACTAAAAATACTAATGAATCATTGAATGTCTCTCCATCTATTCAAATCTGTAAGTTCCTTTAATACATAAAGGGTTTTTCCCTAGGGAGGCTTTTGACTTCTTTCTTTAGTCAATTCTTTAAAATGTTACAGTTTTTACCATGAATGCAAATATCTTATATACTATTTTATTTTCTAACTTTTTACTGTTAGTGAAGATAAATATTATTAGTTTTTGTAAATCGGTCGTTGTAAAGTGACCTTGATAAACTATTGTGTTTATTCTAACATTAATAATTGTTTGATTCTTTGGCTTTTCTATGTGGATGACCATATCATCTGCAAAGAATAACTATTGTAATTCTTTCTTTCCAGCATAGCAGAAGTGATTGTGAACATTTTTGTCTAGTTTCTAGTCATAAAGGAATATGTCAGAAGTTTTGCATAATGTCTAATATGACAGTTTTATGATATGTAACCAAATTAAGGGATTTCCTAAATCTTATCATGAGAAAATACCTGTCAAAACTAAATAATTGGCCTCTGAGTTCTAAGAACTGTGAGGGTCTGAGATTTTACTCTGCTTACAAGCTAAAATGTTAGCTTGCTACATTGTGATGGATGCCGGCAGAAGACGTAAGACTCCTAGGTCAGAGACAAAGACTTCATCACACACAGCAGTCACAGGAGCAAGAGAACCAGCTTTTGCGTTGGTTTCCTAAGATCATTTCCCATAAGGCAGCACAAAGAGGACCAGTAACACCTGCACATGCAGCAGGTTGCATTACCATAGAGGAACCATGAACTCAGGGAACCTGAATCTTTTATTAGGTTGATGCAAAAGGAATTGGAGTACAATGGGCAGTAAGTACGTCCAGAGCAAGAAACCCTATTTATCTTCCAAAACTATTTGCTAAACAATCATCTTTAAAATGATAATCTGGAACAAAAGTAGTCAGTGTCTTTCCTTGCAAGATATGCAGTAGCCAAAGAAATCCCAGAGAACTGTCATGCCGCAGTCAACTTCAAATTATCAAAATCAAGAAAATCAAGGAAAGTATGAGGAACTTGTCCAGACCAAAGAAGCCTAAAGAGAAATGATTAACTAAAAGCAACCTGTGATCCTGAGCTGGCTCCTTTACTATGATAAACATTGAAACAATTGGAGAAATTGGACCTGAGGGTCAGATACAGTAATGCGTCAGTGCTGACTTCCTGGCTTTGAGGATTATGAGTATTGAGGTTATGCAGGAGGATGCCCTTGCTTGTAGGAAAAAGATACTAAAGTATTTGGTGGTGATGGGCTCCCAGCTGACAACTTTATCTCAGATGGTTCAGGGTAGAAAACAGATTTTTTTTCTATCCTTTTAGTTCTTCTCTAATTTTAGGATTGTTTCAAAGTAACGTGGGATTCTGAGGCTTTGGGGAAAAGTAATGTTTTGATTAGCATATCAATGCATTTATACTTTTATTAGTTTAAGCAAGCTTCAATGTCTTCCTAAACAATTTTTATCTACATATATTAAAATGTTTATCTATGTAATTGCTGTGTTAAATATATTGTTGTATTATTTTATTTTCATTGTTTTCAATTTTGTTTTTGATGTTATTTCTCTTATTCCACTATTTGCTTCATTTATTGATATATCTGCTCTTTTTCTGAAAAGATGAGTTTTTGAGTCCCGATAAAATACATTTAGAGGTATCAGCTTAACTTTACTTCTACTTTCACTTATATTTGGACACATAGTGTTTAATTATTAGTCCATATTAAATATGCTATAATTTTTCTTTTGATTTCCTTTGATTCCAATGGTAATTTAATAACATTATTTTTTGAGTCATTTAAAAATGTTTAAGCTACTGTTTTATTTAAAACTGAGTGATGTTACTGACTTACTGGAGTTTTTTGGAAAGTTGCTTTGTGGTTATTACATGACTAATTTTTATAAATGTCCAGAAACATTTTTTTATTTGTGACCTGTAGAATTTTACATATATGCCTATTTATACAGACACAATAGTTTAAGCTTATAAATTATGTTATGTATATATTCTACATTTTTGCTTATTTATTTTTATCTTCTTAATCTATAAGCTTTTAAAGGAGGAGTATCATAAATTAGATTTGTTGTTTTTCTGCCTTTTTCTATAAGTCTCTCAGGTCTTGTAAATATTGGTATATGTATTGATGTTTAAAGTGTTTATGTCTTTAGCTCTATTTTTTTACCAATATATAATATTTTTTGTTCTTTAGCTTTCAGTGTTATTTGTTTGCTTCTATTATGTCAAATATTGGTGGATTTTAAAAATCAAATCTGATTTTTTGTTGTTATATTGAGACATATGTTTCTCACTACTTTATGTTTTGCATTGGATATTCTTTCTTATTTTTGTCTTCTTTTCAACTTTGTATTGGATACATCTTTTTCCTTTAGTTTAAAAGTCATAGGACCTATTTTTATTCTTAAGTTGTTTACCTTTAACATAAAAATTCTATTGAGGCTTAAATATCCTTAGAATTTTGTAGATATATTGTTATGTATATTTTTCCTTCATTACAAATACACTAGTGTGTTCTCATGTCAAATTTATTTCATCCACACACACATAATCCCACACCACGTGGCTATACCTAGGTTTCTTTTTCTAGCTCCTTCTGAATTGTTAGGTCGCTTCACATAGGTAGGCAGGTAAGCAGGCAGATAGATAGATGATAGATAGATAGATAGATAGATAGATAGATAGATAGATAGATAGATAGATAGATGATAGAGATTTGCCATTTGTTTAAGGGTATTGGCTCACTAGATTGCAGGGACACACATGTTTGAAGTCTATAGCTTGGTAGGCTGGAAATTTAGGCAAGAGTTGATGTTGCCTTCTTGAGTCCTAAATACTGCAGGGCAGGCCAGGCAGGCTGGAAACTCAGACAGGCTTTCTATGATGCAATCTTGAGACAGAATTCCTCCTTTCGGAAACCTCAATTCTTACTCTTAAGGCCTTAAACTGACTTCGTAAGCCACAACTACATTATGAAGGCTAATTTGCTTTACTTTGCCTACTGATTGTAAATGTTAATCCCATTTAAAAAACAAAAACAAAAACCTTCACAGCAATATCTAGTCTAGTGTTTATCCAAACAACTGGGCACCAAAGCCCAATCAAGCTGACATAAATTTAACTATTGCAGGTGTTGTGAACACATTTTTTAATCTACCTCTTCTTTAGACAAAAAGATAGATTTTAATAAATTTAATTAATCTTATTTTCTGTATTTTTTGGCTAAATTCTTATGAATTTATTTTTCCTTTTATTTGAAAATGTCTTTGAAAGTGTTTCTCAAATTGATTTTAAAAAGTGATATTTCAAAGGTATGGCTGAGAACATAAGTGCTCTGGCTTTATTTTACGTAACAATTTGGTTAGCTAAAATACTATAGATTCAAAATTTTACATTTTCCTTCTATGTTAATTTTTAAATATTAGTTAATTGTTTTCTTGCATCTAGTGGTATCAGTATGACTTTTCCCTTTGCAGGCAATCTGCTCTGTATCTTCGAATGCCTTTAAATGAACCTTGCAGCACCTATTCCTCACTTTATTAGAAAGTGTACATGAGCAGTTTCTTTTCAATTCTCTGTACAGCATTTAATAAAATGACTTTCTTTTTTCTTTGAAACGGTGGTTTTCAAAGTTGGTCTCTAGAATCTTCAGCTTTGTTGTAATCGCAGTCTTGTTCCCCACATCAGATCCACTGAGTGAGAATCTCTGGGTCTGGCAGTCCCAACTGCCTCTAGGTGATGTGGACACCTTGTTTCAAGTTTGAACACCATTGCTGTAAAAGATAAACACTTTCATCATGGTTCCTTTAAATACTCCCTCTTCTCTTTCAGTTTTTCTTGTTTTATAGGACTCCTGTTATCCAGATGTGGATGTTTCTACATGTCAATATTTACCCTTTTCTGCTGTTTTATCCGAGGATTCCTCAGTTGAATCTTTCAACTCCATCATTCTTCAGCTGTGCTCATCTTACTTTTTTTCCAGCATTTGTTTATTTCATTTCAAATACTACACATTATACTTAATAGTTCTATTTGATGGTTTATTATTTCTTCTTTATTTTTCAGATTTAAAAAATCCTCCTTTATCCTTTTAAAGATTTTGTTTTAATTTTAAAATTCTTGTCAATTACAACAATTCAGGCTTACGTGTTATACGTTGCTTCATTTGTTGTCATTTGGTCATGGTTGTAACCCCGGCACTATGGTCATTTGACCTGTGAACTCATTTTCTCTTAGATGGCACCTCCCAGGTCTGGTAATGTGCCTTAGGGGAAGGCCAAAGGACAGGCCCATTTTTATGTGCTTCTGGTGAGACTAATTACAATGGAGAGGACGTGGCCCAAGCAGTTGGCCAACAAATGCAGACCTCTGTTGATAACTTATCTTCATTACTGTGTGCCAGTCTAGCCAGTGTTTTATTTTTAAATTGTAGTGGGATGCAGGATTGGCAGGCAATTTTTGATTTTTAGTTTGCATCCCACCAGGTTTTGTGTTTGTGTTTAGCGAATGCAAAATCTAACAGCTCTTGTCTCTTACCTGTGCTACGTAAAACAGCTGCCAAGCGATACCCAGCTGAGACTCGGTCTGCACTATCACGATGCCACACACTGATCATCCTGCACACTTGTGTATATACGCAAGTTTGTCTTCTCAATGTAGAGTAGATAATCCATGAGAGCAAAGGAGAACTTGTATGATTTCTTTAACATTCTAAACCTAGTGACAGGCACAGCAAGCAGTACATAGATAGTTTTAGAGGCTTTGCAATGGTTTTTATTGAATGAATACATGACAGAACTTTTGCAAAACTATCTTCACACTATTGTTTCAATACATTTAATGATGACTAGGTTTTATCCTTTGTCTTATCTATTTTATGTTAGAGGATGGTAAAAAATCCAATATTTTGGTATCTATTAAGACAAATGAAGATCCCATGAGTGATGAGATATTATGACTGTCTTATCTCTAAGTGTTCAGCAAAATATTAGATATATAGAAGACTTAAAATATGCAATCTATTACACGTTATTAAATATTTCTTCTTCAATTTAATATAGAATTATTGACCAATAATCATTACAAATTGTGTTTGTGCAGAGGAACGTCTGTGGGCTTATAGGAACATCCATAATCTCTTGTGAAGTCTGTTTTTTTAAATAACTTTCTTGTTTAATATTGTTTGTTATATTATCAAGTCCTTCATTTGAGGTTACTTTGGGAAATGAATAGTGCGACCCTGTTCAGTGTGTGTCACACTCAAAGCAGAAATATGTCTATGGTATTCTTTATTCTTCCTTGTAAAATGTAAGGCCAGAAACTGCGGTGTATATTACTGGCTTTGGGTACAGTTTTAATTGGTCCATTAAACCCACGGTTGAAAATATTTATTGTTTATTCAAAAGTTTTATGTCTTTCTAGACAGTGACTGAGAAGGCGGATAAGCAGAATACAGTGGAAATAGGTCCTAATTATCATGATTATTAGAACACAAGGAAGCCCAGTAGCTTTGATGGAGAGGACAGCTCTTGTATCTTCCTTTAGGAATTCAGTAGCATGTTTAACATTTACAACTTGTGAGCCACTTTTTTCTTAACATGTAGAAAATTCTTTATTGATGCACTTTGGACATAGAAAAGCCTGTTCATATATCTTCAATATGTCTGTGATTTATTGAGAGGAATAAAATACTTATTAATCATTTGAGTTCAGGATATGAAATAATTTTTCAACATGTCCAGATGAGCCTGTCCAGCTAAATTCTATCATCAATTGCAGGCGGTGGTAGAGACTTGGCCTTGAGTGTCAATCTGTCTTCAGACACAGTTTTAATTTCAGCTTCCACTAGTGTATCAGTGGCTTGACAGTGAATTATGAGTTTCCTGCTCTTGGCTGGACAAGTCACTCACAGAATTTTTTTTTTTTTTGGAATGTGACTCAGTTCTGGAGGAATTATTTTAGATAAATGTGATTGTTTCCTATGAAAATAAAAATATATTTTCTTGCATGTAGAATGAGCCACATGACATATAAAACAGGAATTGTATACATTGTGCATTTCTCTGTTCGACAATCCTACAATGAATTCTAAAATTCAGTTTTCATCAGTGAAGAAGAAAACTTGTGTAATGAAGAAGTATCTTTCTACTAATGATTCCATAGACCAAGGCAACCCTCATAGTTGGTTTGCTTCCCAAAGTGACAGTTTACATGGCCAGGATACTTTTAAATATACAACTTAATATGATCGCTGTAGAACACTGAAAAGAGAATCAACTAAGTGTGTTGCCCAGGCTGGGTGCAGTGGCTCATGCCTGTAATCCCAGCACTTTGGGAGGCTGAGGCAGGTGGATCACCTGAGGTCAGGAGTTCAAGACCAGCCTGATCAACATGATGAAATCCTGTCTCTACTAAAATTACAAATATTAGCCAGGCGTGGTGGCGGGTGCCTGTAATCCCAGCTACTCAGAAGGCCGAGGCAGGAGAATCACTTGAACCCGGGAGGCAGAGGTTGCAGTGAGCCAAGATCATGGCACTACACTCCAACCTGGGCAACACAGTGAGACTTTGTCTCAAAAACAAACAAACAAACAAACAAAAATATGTTGCCCAACACTAAGGATACAGAAAAATAAAACAGCAGGATTATTTTTAAGGAAGGAAATTTCGGGTAACTGTTTTAATGACTATCCACTCTAATATAAATCAGTAGTTAAAAGCATTTAAAAATGAAACAATTGATGCTGAATAGTGTGAGGAAAGTTGAGGCTATGTCAGTGAATACCAGTGTGACCATGAGGCGACAGAAATGGAGACTCTAAATGTATTTGTGCATTATGCCTAGGTTTATGCAAGCCTCATAGAGGTATTCAGTGTCGTTTAGGGGTGAAATTAGATTATGAATGTGCAGAAATCAAGATACTGTCTTGTGTATTGTGAGTGCCCAAAATAGGGGAGCTCTTATTGTAGTTAGTGTTGTAATAAATTATTTTAGATACCATTTAATACCAGGTTGTTCAAGTAGCTCCATATGAAAATGCCTTTTCTGAATACCATTGCTTTACGAAAAGATACTGATTCTAAACCAGTGGGTCTCAACTGAGGCTGATTTTGCCCCTACAGGGTACATTTAGCAATGCCTGGAGACTTTTTGACTTTCATGATGGGTGAGGGCTTGTTACAGGCATCTGGTTGGGGGAGGCCCGGGATGCTGTTAAATATCCTCTAATGCACAAGATAGCCCCCCCTCAACAAAGAATGATCCTGCCCACAGTGTCAATGGTGCTGAGGGTGACAAATCCTGTTCTAAACCATTCATGTGATTTTCTTGTTTTGTTTAGTTGTTGTGACAACTGAGAAACAGCAATAATAAAAACTGGAATCTGCCATTTGAGTTCTTCACCTATCCCCTCATCACTGCTATAGCCAAACAGAAGTGAGAAGACGGAAGAAAAGAATTCTTACAGAGACAAGACGTAAGAGGAAAGAAGAGAAGGTAATCAGTAAACAAGATGACTGGCAGAAAAAAATTGATTAATGTCTCTCATTCCAATTTACCATTGTGAAAGAATGGGTTGAATCTGTGCTTAAAAATTTAAGAAGCTGGCCGGGCGCAGTGGCTCATGCCTGTAATCCCAGCACTTTGGGAGGCCGAGGCGGGCAGATCACCTGCGGTCAGGGGTTCAAGACCAGCCTAGCCAACATGGTGAAACTCCATCTCTATAAAATTTAGCCGGGCATGATGGCAGGTGCCTGTAATCCCAGCTACTAGGGAGGCTGAGGCGGGAGAATCACTTGAACCCAGGAGGTGGAGGTTGCAGCAAGCCAAGATTGCATCATTGCACTCTAACCTGGGTGACAGAGTCAGACTCCATCTCAAAAAAAAAATAAATAAATAAAAAGCAAAAACCCAGAAATACTAATAGGGCTCCACACAAACAGGATGTCATAACCTAGTCTAAAGGAAGGGAATCTAAAGGAACAACTAGTCTAAAGGGAGTCTCCACATTTGGGATGACCTCAGATGGGAGATTTTGCTTCCCTTTTCCTCCAACCTCCATGTACTCAGCCACCCTCAATCTCTCCATCTCAGAGGACTAAGCTCTGTCCGTGCTGCTTAGAGAAGGCAGTGTGGACCAGCCAAACAAAGCCTGGCTAAAGGGAGTCTAAAGGAATGTGAAACCCATGGGAATGTACATGGAATACATAAATGTAGATACAAATCGGACCAAAAAGGTGACTCTTTTTAAACTCCTCCTGCCCAACTATACTGTAATCCATTCCACATTGAAGGGAGAATGAAAACTACTTTGCGAGCTCCTCTGTAATGTCTTCGTTTTACGATCACCCTACTAGAGATTGGAAATTTGCTCATTGACTGTTCAATCCTTCTCAATTTTCCTGCTTGAGTGAACAAGCCCCTCCAAGTATTGTCAGGGGTAGTCCCTGTCATGTGAGTAACAATTGGCACATGGGTTTTTGCCCAGAGCATGAGTAGGACAGATTGGAAGCACTGTCTCTATGTGGAATGCTGCATTTGCAAGGTCTGTTCCAGGCCACTTGTGCAGACAGCTGTCTTAGCTGGGATTTTCCACATTGATTTATAAAGTTGAACACTATTAGCTGCAAGTTAGAACATATTTTTAACAAAGGCCATTTATGCAGTAGGAAATTGTAGACATATAAGAACCAGGAGCAGAACAGAGGCACATAGGTGAGAAACGATCTTAAATAATGTGTAATTGTCATGCCTATGGCCACCCTCAGCTGGGTGCAGGCCGTGTTCATCATCCTACAGAGAAGGAAGTGAGGGCCAGGACATTCTGGAAACTCACCTGCAGGCACACAGCTAATAAGAGGCGGATTTCCTTCTGAGGTTTGTGCAGCTGTGGCCAGGCTTTGTCTGGCTGGTCCACACTGCCTTCTCCAAGCAGCACAGATAGAGCTTAGTCCTCTGAGATGGAGAGATTGAGGGTGGCTGAGTACATGGAGGTTAGAGGCTGGAGGAAAAGGGAAGCAAAATCTCCCGTCTGAGGTCATCCCAAACGTGGAGAGCAGTGCGTGGCCATCAGAGCACAGGCCTGCAGATGCCTGGGACACAGGGCGGAAGGTGGCCCCAGCGGAGGCCTTTGTGCTGCAGCAGTGGGGCCAGGCAGCAGCTTAAGAGGCCCCTCAGAGAGCGACAGAGACAGTAGGAGACAGCAGCTCGTATCTAAGATGCGGGAGCCCAGTTCTGTGGTTTGTGCCTGGGGGTGCCACTTCCCTGTGCCTCCTCAGAACAAGAACAATGTACGCCAGGGCTATGGCTCATGTCAGTGAAACCTTAGGTTCAGAGGGTGCAGAATGTAGACACTAGGGTGAACCTTACACTGTGTTAAGTTACGGTGTGTGGTAGATGGGAGAGGAGCCCATGTGGGGGCTTTAAGGATCCTTCCAACACAGCCCAGGAAGTTACACTCAGAGGAGCGTGGAACTAGAAGGTGGGCCCCACTCAAGGCCAGGGACAGGGACGGGGCAGGACACACACACAGGGCCCAGATGGGACGAGTGCCCAGGGAGGGGAGGCACCAAGCCTGTGAGGCTGGGAGAGAGGCAGGGAGAGACAGAGACAGAGAGGGAGACAGGGAGAGGAAAAGAGAGTGTCTGAGAGAGAGACACGGAGAGGGAGAGACAGAGACAGAGTGAGAGATAGAAAGAAACATGGAGATAGACATGCACACAGAGACAGAGAGTGAGAGAGACACACACAGAGACACAGAGATAGAGAGTGAGAGACACACACAGAGAGACAGAGGGAGAGACATAGAAAAAGAGAAAGAGATACAAACAGGGAGACATACGGAGAAAAAGAGAGAGACACACATACAGAGAGAGAACCCGTGGGTAAGTCACTTTATTGGGGGTCAGGTGAAATGCAACACGGAAAAGGCCTGAGAGGCTTTATCATGCTTTTGAGTGTCACTAGGTCCCAGGGGGGGAAGGCAAGAAGGGGAGTCTATGGCAGGAAGCACCCCATCACGCTGGGCAGGCACCTGGTCACCTGGGCAGGGTGCTCACGGCCTTATTGTGGAAACATGGAAGTATTAGGAAAACACAGTTTTAAAATTTACTATACATACGGACATCCACACACACCCTTTCCAATCTTGTCTCTTTCAAAAAAGTTATTTGTGCTGGACTCAACAGCCACGCAGTGGCCTTCCCAGCAGTGGCTCTGGTTGGAGTAGCACCTAGCCTCCGTTGTGTGCCGTCAGGGCTCATAGGATTCTCAGGGAAATGGCTGTGATAAAAGGAACGGCGAGGGAGAGAAAAACAGAGGAGTGTGGCAAGACGCCCTCCAATTTTCTTCTTTTTTTTGTAGAGAGGCAAAAGGTCTATCATGCATGATTAAAACTTTAATTAAGTATGCTTGAATTCTAGTTTAAAATGTAGTTTCACTATTCATTGGACACTTTAAATTCTCCAATAAGATGATAAATATCAGTTGCCATAGAAATGTTACTGCTCGAAATGTTATTAAAAGTAGGTTTTTGTTATCTGGCAAAACTCACTATAGGGATTATTATTGATAATGATAGGGAGATTCCTTGTGAGATGAAGTAAGAAAGAAGGAAACTGGCATTTGTCAAGGGACTAGGAATGCCCACTGCTGTTCCTTGTTTTGCAGGCATGGTCTCATTTACTTTGTTTCACCAAAATTGCAGGTGAGTTTTACCCCCCATTTTATAGTTGAAGAAATTGAAACGCAGAGACAAAATATTCTGTACAAGATCACAGAGCCGAGAATGTGGGAAGCACCGAACTAGGTGACTTTCAAACCTTTGAACTCAACATCACCTTCTCTCTCCAATAATCCAGAAAGGAATGCATGATTTAGCTTCCAAAACAGAGCTTCCAAAAATTAAACACACTATTTACTGAGAGTTGATAGGATTCTACAGAACAATAAATCTCTTAAAAAACATTAAAATGAATTGTAAAAACTACTAAATTTGCTCAGAGCTGTCACTTCATTTTATAATTACTGGGAAATATGATATCATGGATCGACAATGTCTGCCCGCAGGTGATTTGGCTTCAATCTAATGGAGTTGCAAGAGAAATGAATACTGGAAATTCAATTTCTGCTTCTTTGGTGGAGAGGTTTAGTTGTTTCTCTGCCTTGAGTCCCACACTGTGACATCATTCTAATAGAAATAGAAGAACGGCTGGCCAAATTTAGGACATGCATGAACTTTGTGATTTCATACATTTGAAATACATTCAAATCTTTAGAAGTCCGTTTGTGAACTATAAAATAAAAGAACATTACTTCCCTTTTCCAAGAAAAGTGCCTCCCAATGTCTTCTTGGACGTGATATTTCCTCCACAAAATCAGGCTTCAATGAGCTAAGTGTGAGTAAATTAGAAACATATGTACCAAATGGTCTCTGTTATAAACTCCTTTATTAAGGAAACACTCAAATGCTCTAACAATGAACAGGACAATCTGAAGATTTCGGTACACATTAAACCTGCTTAAAAACTCCTAATTCAACACCTTTATGGGAGTATAACTTAACTAGAGTGCACCAATTCTAACGCTTAGTACTCAAGTCATTAGCTCTTCTTAAAACCAAGTCTAAATGCAATTTAAGATAAAATACTCCTTTGTAGCAGTCCCTCCAAGCAGCAAAGTCACCTCAGAAGGAGACAATAAATATATAAATACAAACCAACACAAAAAGCAAAATTCAAAGAAGGAAAAAAATCATACTTTTGATCTGGGCATTTCCATTCAAGCTTTTCTGAAAGGTGAAAGAGGTGGGATAGTTTTTCTATTAGAAATGGCTATCAGAATTTTTCATGTTTGTCTTAGAGAAACTGAAATTGATTTATGTTTAATAAATAGCACGCAACACAATGCAAATACAGAAAAAATCTACAACACATTGTATGTAAATATCAACACGTTGTCAACTCCTCAATACATCTCCCAAGGAATTTGCACTCTGACTTATTTTCATGTTATTGGGAACGGATTACAATTGTTTTCCCGTGCATTTGAGAATGCTTGTGATCCCAGAAGATATACGTTAGAATCTTTACTTTGAGAAGATTTGGAATGACAATAGCTGTCATTCTCTCTTACTTTTAAGTATAGTTTTATGCATGATCTATAGATCTTAAAAAAATTCAAGAAGTTTTAAAATCCATAATTTATGTCTCAATTCTTACTCTATATATTCTTATATCAGCAGCCCTGGTATACCATAACATCTTTGACAAACCCTGGGTTCTGTTCACCTTATAAGGCATCTTCTCCAATGGAATGCAGCCAGCCCTGTGTATTTCATCAACCTTCAAAGATCAGTTCTGTTTCAGTGCAGGATGACTGTGTTTTGGCAAGAAGCAACGAAGTCTTGAGTGTGTGGAGGATTTAAAAATCAATCTAATCTTTCATAACAGCACCAATGGCCCTTTTAGTTTTAATGTCCCCAAATAATAAAGGATGGTTGTTGAACTGGATATAGCAGGCTTAGCAGATTGTTTTTCTAATTGGTGTTTTTTTCATCTTAACTTCAACCTTGGCATTTTCCTTCTGGATTTGAACACAGCATTTCCTCAAGTGGGCGCCAGAGGAACTTGAGAACCCCAGCCTTTGTGCACGGCTGTGCAACCTGGACTTTGTCGAGACAGGAGTGCATTACCATGACATTTAAGGAGGAGAACAAGCTGCTCTGAATTGTGTCAATCTCACTTGTGATCTATTTTTGAACAATGTACTAGAAAGATATTCCCGTTCACACAGAACTAGTGATTTACCCTCTGGTGGATTCTACCCCTCCAGCTACTTGGCGATAAATAAAGCCAGAGTGGAGAGAGAGTGTAAATAAAAATTAACTGTACCCAATTGGCTCCCCAATGCTTTCATTTATGCATGCTTGTTTGATGAGGTACTTTTCTATTTTTTTTTTTTTTTTGAGATGGAGTCTCACTCTGTCTCCCAGGCTGGAGTGCAGTGGTGCAATCTCGGCTCACTGCAAGCTCCGCCTCCCGGGTTCACGCCATTCTCCTGCCTCGGCCTCCCGAGTAGCTGGGACTACAGGCACCCGCCACCACGCCTGGCTAATTTTTTGTATTTTTTAATAGAGACGGAGTTTCACCGTGTTAGCCAGGATGGTCTCGGTCTCTTGACCTCGTGATCCACCCGCCTCGGCCTCCCAAAGTGCTGGGATTACAGGCGTGAGCCACCGCGCCTGACCTTGATGAGGTACTTTTCAAGTCTTCTTAATTGCCATATAAAATAAGGCCTCTGGTAATCAAAAGCCCTAAAAAAAATGTTGGGGGGGGGTTGTCCACCTTGGTTGGGGAGGGTTGTCCACCTTGGTTGGAGGGGGTTGTCCACCTTGGTTGTGGGGGGGTTGTCCACCTTGGTTGTGGGGGTTGTCCACTTTGGTTGTCTTCAAATTTTCCTTGTTGGTTTTTCACTTTCCAACTTCATTGCCATTTCAGTAACTCCTGGGGGTATATGGCACCCCGCAAACCTGGCGCTGCCATGGCCGGACAGAGAATCCAGGAGCTCTGATCCTCCCACCAATACCTACTGTGGTGTGGAAACTCTCCTGTCTCTTTTACTGAGCCAAGATAATGTTAGACAGCCTTCAAAGAAGTGCTTTAACAATTAAGAGAGCGAAAGAAATATATGTATAGAAAGAGAAAGAAACAGAGACAGACAAGCAGATACACACACACACAGAGGGAAAGAGAGAAAGCTGGAGGGGAGAGAATAGATAGGAAGAAATATAGAGAGATATATAAAGAGACAGAGAAATGGAGAGAGACAGATACATACAGAGAGAGATAGCAAGAGGGAATAGAAAGGGAGAAATGGAGAGAGAGGAATAGAGAGACAGAAAAATAGAGAGCAACAGATAGGGAGAGAAAAGCAAAATAGAACAGCAGTGCAGTAACACAGTATAAATTCCTAAAACAGTGTGTAGCCACACATTTATTTGGTCATCACTATGTACTGGTTTTTGGACGTCTGTCTCTTTATTCCCTTTGTCCTGAGTGGCTTGCTGTGGACATAGTCTCTATCTGGTTCTTGGGCTAGTGGTACTCTCTCTCAGGGAAACAGTGGCTCCACCCCTCGGCTCTACGTGAGTCTAGGGACTTCGGGCCTGGAAGTTGGAGACCTTCCTTCGTTTCACAAAATCTGCACCACATCAGGTTTCTCCTGCCACTAAAAGCAGAAAACAGCTCTTCCTTTTTCTGCGTCCGTGGGCGGTAACTGGCTGCCCTTTCAGTTCCCGTTTCCCGTCTAGGACGTCCTAATTTTGAACAGAACAAACAGCACTTGCAACACCCAACCCATCAGGAAATCCCGTTGTCTCTGCCTTTGGAAGATCCAGAACCTCATGGATTGTTACCATTTCCCAGCTACTCACCATTGCAGCTGGAAACACCGTCCTCTGTCACTGGATTCCCACGCGCACCCGCCAGCTCCCCTGCTCCAGAGCCTGGCTCCTTCCGCAGCAGCGAGAGGGTCCCCACGCAAGCCAGCCTCAGGTGCTCACTTCAGCAGCACATCTGCTAAAACTGGAACATACAGAGAAGAGGAACCTGGCCCCTGTGTAAACATGACATGGAAATTCATGGGACATTCCATATTTTTATGAATATACTAAAAGCCGCTGAATTGTAGGCATTGAAAATAATACATTTTATGGCATGTGAATTATATCTCAATTCAGCTACTGTAAACTAAATAAACAAAAGTAAACCATGCCCATCCTCCGCTCAAAGCCCTGCAATGGTTATTTCATTCAAAGTAAAGTCTATGTTCTTAAAAAAGCCAAAAAGCTTCCTGTGATCTAACATCTCCCATTCCCATCATTTACAATCTGATTCTTTCTCTAGTTATTTTTCCCCTTACTTCAGGCGGATGCCAATTTGCACTGTTCCAGGAATGTGCCAGGTACCTCGCCCCCCTAGCTGTCCCTTGTTAAGAACCCCTGCAAAGACAGGGTGGACTCGCGGCCCCCAAATTTGGTTCAATGTTGAGATCAATGATGCCACACACACACACACACACACACCAAGACAGTATAACAAGGTGTATTTACATAATGGCAGAACAGGGCAAACCTCTTAAGCAGGTCTCAAACAGTGTGAAAGAGCAAGGAAAGGTGCATAGCTGGGGGTTTTACTGTGGTGAGCAGGGGGTTGGGGTTGGGTAAAGGTGCCCAGATTGAGGGCTTGCGTGATCTGAATCTCCTGCCAGTGTCCAAGTGGGAGCACTTGAGCTTTCTTCTCAGCTTGTCCAGATGTGGGACAAGCTGAAGAGAGGCCCAGGACAAACATTTGGCCAGTGAGGCTTAAATGTTTTCAAGCAGCAGAAACTGGAGTCAGCCTCTTTATCACACAGCTATTTAATAAAACCTCGGGAGCTCAGTAAGACCTATCCTGAGCACACCCTGCAAAATCCTCCTTCATACCTCATCGGCTTCTCCCCCATCTGTGTTCTTGGCTCGGGGTTGTCTTTTTCACACATCGCTGGCCACCTTCTAATGTGCCCTGTCATTTTCCTAAAATATTCAGAACTTGTTATCAGGGTTCCCCTGGGTCCTCTCCTGACCTGCTAAAAATGAACTGCTTGAGGGCAGAGGTCTTCCATCCAAATGCAGATGAATTCCGAGTGCCTGCAGCAGACCTGGCACCAAGCAGATGCTCCATACGTACATGTTGAGTGAGTGAATTCAGGTGCTTAAGAAGCACTCAGCATCCATTCAATAACCTGGTTCTATAGGTTGGTGAAAAAGTAACTGTATTTTTTTTTAACCATTACTTTTTAGTGGCAAAACCGCAATTACTTTTGCACCAACCAATGGTTGTCAAATTCTCTTTGGTGGCTCACCTCCTCAGTTATTTTTCAACATGAATCTTAGCCCTTGGGGCTATCAGAATTTTACTAGTGGTTAAATTATTGAAGCAGTCTCATGCATATGAGAAGTAAATTAGACATTTATACCAGAAATTTTAATTATCTCTGACAACTTTAATAACTATAATAATTCCAGTTAATTCTAACTAGAGTTACTGTGGTTATTGAAAAATTAGTTTGATTTTGAATGTTTACTCAAAGGTGAGTCATTAAGTTGTAATTGTAAAAATCGGTTCAATTTTTAAGTGAGATAGGATGACTGGGGCAGTGTTCTAAGAGGCTGTGAGGTAAGGGGGGGAGTTGGATTCTACTGTGTTTCAACCACTAATTAACTATGAGTTATTTCATCCACTACATTGAACAATCTGTCGCTATAATAGGGCTAATATGAATTAAAACATGAATGCTAAAAGAGTATATTTATTTTATCATATGCAGTGTTAGGGTAACAGACAATAGAAGTACCAAGTTGTCCTTTACTTGGCTTTAAAGCAGAGATTATAAAGGAACCAAAAAAATATATAGAACATGTAATGAAGGTCTTTCCTTTTGATGCATTTAGGACACTTCCTCTCAGGATTCGTATCTTGCACTGGAATAACAGTGGTGACTGGCTGTGTCTTTAACCTTACTTTCTGCTGTCATGGCTTGTCTATGAGGATTTTCTGGGGCGTTTGCCATTACGATTGTCTTTTAGCAGTAGAATTTAACAAGAAAATTCCAGGGGCAACACTCTGGTTGAAGATCTGCACAATCCCTATACCTGCAACCTCTTCTCAGAATTTCCCTGCACTTCCTGGCATTAACCGCAACCAGGAATCATGATGGAGATTCAGCATCCTTGGTAGCCATTTTTGCAGGAAGTTGCATGTTTTTCTGCATCCCAGAACCTCAGTTCCAGAGGTGGGTCTCCTGTCCTCCCTGTTGCTCAGTGTCACCTTCCACACCAATCTCCAAAGCTTCTACTGCTCCTTTGAAATTATGACATCTGGTTTTACAGATTTTCAGAGTTTCTACTTTTTCTGTCATTAAATAAGCGCCAGCTCATTTCTTCTATTCTTCAAAAACACATTTCCCTAATGATTTACATTCACCTTCTCAACACTTCATTTCATTCTTAGAGACTTTAGTGCTCTTGCCATGGCTCTCTGAAATGTTGAACTATTTCTTCCTTTATGTGCTCATGGTCATGACTTTCCTCCATGATTTCTGAGCCACCAACATATAGAAATTACCTGAATTCGCTAACACTCTTATATGAAAAATCCAGTTGTCCCATTCTCCAATCACAATAATCTCTTACTGCTTTGCTTCCTTTGCTTAAGCGCCACATAAAAAAAATGCAACCTCACACAGACCCTTCATTTTCTCTTTATCAATTACTTCTGTCTTTATTTCTTGACTTACCTGGTTTATATTGCCTGGATCATGAATAAGTCTATCCCCTTGGAAATATTCTCACTTCCATTCCCTCCTTTTCCTCCTAGAAACACTTTAACCCTAGATGATTCAGAAATTTGTCTTCATTGTGCTTATAATGACCAATACTGCATAACATCATTAAATTTGGCAGCTAAGTGTCACCATATATTCATAAATTTCAAAACAAAATGGTCACTCAATGTTATATTATAGTCAGCTAACCCTCGCAGGCTTTCTGTGCTATTTCATAATATGCCTTTTTCCAAATTTTCTACTTCTCTTCCCTTGCATTATGATTCATTAATGACTTTGCCATGAGATGGGAGCTGTGTTTTTCTTCAGTCACCAAATCTGCAAGTCTTCCTGCACCTGCACCTATTTTCTTTTATTTTTTAATTGTACAAGCATACAATGCTACCAAATGTGGATTCACTTTCTGTGATGAATTAAAAATGTTCAATAGGCAATTATTACATCCTTCACTTTCTAGGATTTGGGGCATAGTAGTAAAAATGATAGATTAGATTTCCTTTCCCATTGAAATTTTATTCTAGTGGATGAATAAACAGACAAATAACTAAGATATTAGATAATTACAATGAAGATATTAGATATCTACATTCTTAACAAATTTTCAGTACACAATACAATGTTACTAACTTCATTTATTACCTGTTTAACTCATGGTTTACATTTACTTTTTAGACATTCATCTGAGATAACCACATCTTTTCACCTTTACCGTTTGTCTCCTTAACTCACCATCCCCTAGTTTTCATGTCTTTTTAGTCTCCATTGGTCTGGGAGAATTTCTTCAGATTTATTTGTGTATCATGACCTTGATGCTCTTGAAGAGTACTGGTCAGTTATTTTGTAGATTGTCCCTCAATTTCAATGTCTCTGATGGTTTCTCATGATTAGATTGAGGTGATGAGTATTCGGCAAAAATACTGTCTCTGGCAGTTCTTTATAGCAGTGTAAGAATGGACCAATACACCCACCACTGCGATGTTCCTCAGTTCCCAAGGTCCTGGGTCTGCCTGATTTCTTCTCTCCATTTCTTCTTTAGAATCTTCACATAAAAAATATGTATGTATACGTTTCAAGATTTTTTTATTACACTTAGAAAGATAAAGTATTTCTACTCTAGTTTTTCCAGTAAGCAAAATTCTAGAAGAAGCAGAAGCCTGTTTTCTAACTTTTAAAAAGTTTTTTTTGTATTTTTATTGAGATTGTGTTAACTTTGTAATGTAACTTAACTTTTCATAGAATTAACAGGTATATAATGTTGAGTCTTTCTCTTTGAGAATAATAAATGTTTTCCTGTTTGTTCAAATCTACGTTTATGTTTTTCAGGGATGGTTTTAAATTTTCTTCCTGCTACTTTTACACATTTAAAAAAGTTTATTAGCAAATTCACTAAGTTTATTTTCAAGGAGAACCATCGTTATTGAAATTGTAAATTGTGTACTCTCTACTGTTGTATCTTTTTAACTTTTTTTTGTGATATGGAAGCTATTATTTGTAATACTTACTAAATTCTTTCATTGTTTGAGTTGGTTTTATCATTGTTTATATAGAATTTTGCAGTTATACTATCATTTTATCTGCATATATAGAATGTTTTGCTTGTTGCTTTTATCAATTATTAATCATCTGATTAATTTATCTTGCCTAATTTCATTGACTAATACCTCCTGTACGCTGTTAAACAGTAATGCAGATACAGTTTTTCAGGAATAGAATCTAGCTGATATATGAGGAATTAGAATATTGCCCCTGTGAAATCACCCAGCCCTGGTGAGGTTTTAGGTTTTTTGTTGTTGTTTTTGTTTGTTTATTGTTGTTTTGCTTGCTTTGGTTTTGTATAGTTCCTGGAATACGTTCTTCTCCATAGAAATTAATCTGTTTACACTTTCTGTGTTTAATGGGGTCAGTTTTGGGATGCAGGTAAATCATTGACCAAATTGCTTCTTTTGCCACTTGTCTGTTTCTGACCTTGCAGGGATCACCTGCGATATGAGGGACTGCGATATGATGGACTGCGACATGATGGTCCTGGTGACCAAGGTTACATGGAGAGTGAGTAATATTTTAGTGAAATGACTACTAATGTTATGTGCTGCTGTGCACCTGTTTCTAATTGCCCTGACTCTAGTGTTGTGCTTCCTAAGCAAAATCTTTGCTTTTCAAGTTACTTCATTATTAACTCAAGCAGTATTACTAAAAATGGGAAAAAAATCTCTTACACACATTACTTACTTTTAGTTTGGAAAGCTATCACAATAAAATTATTTTACTTAATTCTTCTTGGTATTTTATCTTCTAAGTGCTTCAATGGTTCATAACATTTTGCTAACATTGAAGATAATTTTTTCTTCTCTTATGCATGAATTCATTGTTCCTGATTTGGATAATATGATGCAATATTTCCACAGCCTTCCAACACCCTTCACTCTGATTGTGTCATCAATATGATGATTCACAAGAATGTCCAGAGAGACCCTATATTTCCCAACACATGTCTCCATGAGATAGGAGCAATGATTCTTGGCATAGCCTTGTAATATGTATACATTTTTTTAAAGTCTTTGCTGAATAAAAGCAAATTGAGTCTGAAATTCCTTATCAAAATGGAAAAAATTCAAAAAACAAAACCTACTAGAGGAGTCTATTTGTGCTATTTATAATCCCAGGGCATTAAGCATTTATTTCTGAACCTGGATAATATTTCTTGAGATTTTTTTCACAGATTCCTTTGACAACCAATGATTGGCTGTTCCTGCCATGATTTGCTACATTGTCTGAGTAGCCAAATTAGGAAATTATGTTATAATTCTCTTCTTCCTTTTCCAAATATTTCATGTTTTGAGAGATTATTTTTTCCGTCTTTTAGCCTGATTCTACACCTGAGGTTTCAACTATGAATTCTAGGAAGGATCATTTGATTTGTTCCAATTTAAATAGTTCTCAATGCTGGCACAGTTGTATTTATTATCAGAATTTTAGTTTTCTATTTTCAAATGCTAGGAACAATTCTGCACTTTTCAGACAATTTGTCACTTATGGTCCAGTATAGTCAATGCTAATTTTATGTTGATTTTTTTTTAATCTATCTTTAAGGTTTTAAATCAGATACAATCTGCTCCTATCATTATGTTGAAAATGGAGGAAATCAACTTTCATATGAGACCACCACTACTCATTTAGTGGTGAGTAGCGCAATGCTTTGAGCAAGTACTGAATCTGAATCCCATCCATACTAATTACATTTGTGAATACTTGGACATATTGTACATCTCTTCTGGATCTTACTAGCTACCTCTATAAAATTTTACTAATAATTTTAAATTAAAAAGAACTGTGTCTATATCCATAATTAGTCTGTATCTATCAATTAACTCTCTATATATACATATATATTATATATAAAATATATACACACATTGTGAGAGAGACGTATACTCACAGGTATATGGTTATATGTCTTCCTCTCTCTTATACACACACACACACACGCCCATAATTATATTATGGGTATAGACATATACCCATAATTAGTCTTGATCTATCAATCAACTACTTTTTTTTTTTTTTTTTTTTTTTTTTTGAGACGGAGTCTCGCTCTTTCGCCCGGGGCCGGACTGCAGTGGCGCGATCTCGGCTCACTGCAAGCTCCGCCTCCCGGGTTCACGCCATTCTCCTGCCTCAGCCTCTCCAGTAGTTGAGAAAATCCGCCACCGCTCCTGGCTAATTTTTTGTAATTTTAGTAGAGACGGGGTTTCACCGTCTTAGCCAGGATGGTCTCGATCCTCCTGACCTCGTGATCCGACTGCCTCGGCCTCCCGAAGTGCTGGGATTACAGGCGTGAGCCACCGCGCCCGGCCTCAATCAACTACTTTAAAAATATTAGTAAATTTTTATGGAGACAGCTAATAAGATTCAGAAAATATATACAATATGTATATACACATAATGTGTATATATACCATATGTGTGTATCTATCTATCTATCTATAGTCTTCAAAATGGTCATTTTCCTGCATGTTATAATGAAAGCTGGATCCCAACTCCTCCAGATAGACAAGTATATACTGAGAAGTTTAAGAGTCTAAAATGAATGCATAAGAATATATTCTAAAGGTATTAGGCTAAAGAAATGCAACATAATGTTGGATTGGTTCAAATTTACTCATATCAGTGCATTTATCACAAGATTCAGGACGTACTGTAACAGCAGTTAGCTTTAATAACATCCTAGGTTTGTTATTGAAGTTCAGATTCAGTGGTAGGCCACAGTCAACAAGACCCTCTCATAATCAAGTCAAAAGAGGCACATTTGGAAGTGAATTATGTCTCATGCTGGAAGAACTTCAGGGTTGCTGTCCTCTGTAACCTGCAGATGAAGTTGTAAGAGGCTGCATGGGACCTGGATCTGAAGGAAATAACCCAATCTTGTCATTGAAAAGGCCAGGCGGGGCTGCTCTTCCATCAGAAGCAAGGTAGATACATTAACCATGATAGGTGGAAGGGTCTGTGGTGATGGGAAATTGAAGATCAGGTCCCAAGAATGAAATAATTGGGAGCATTGTTAAGATATATAAGCGGGACCATTTTGAGTCTAATGGGCAGAAAGCTAACTCAGTTATTATCATTGTGGGAATTTTCAGACTAGCATCCACTTGACAGTCCTGGCACCTTGATTGAAGGCATTTCTATGTCTCTTTGACAAAGATCCCTGCAAAACAGCCCCATGCGTGTATTACGACTCTTCCTCTAAGCCTTCTCAGTGGGATTGGCTGTCATGCACCAAAGTGTCAGTGTGTGATGCGTAGAGAAAATGCCATGATTTTTCATTGAATATTAAATACTAGCTCTGAACTGATGTTAATACTCAAAGTCAAAACCAAACAAAACACAGTAGTCACTGGTCAGAGCAGGGGCTCACAGAGGTCAGATGAGAGGTGGAGACTTGGTCCAGCATGTTTCACAGTGAGCGTGCAAACCCAAATCAGGAGACTGAAACCTGCAGAATCTTCTTCTTGGTTTCCAGATCAGTGGAGCAAGACGTATTGGGTAGGAAAGGCCAGAAATAAGTCACTGAATGGATGCAGCCTATGTGAATAGCAAGTCAAAACTGGAACTGTGTCTTGCTAGAATTGCAGAATTAGTGCCACCGCCACATACTGGAAAGCCACAACATTTGTAGTTTTTACGGCATCCACATTTAAATGATTTATTTGCTAGGTGCTGATCTTGGAGACTGAATGTAAATTTTTGTAAACATAAACAGGTGAGGAAGTCCATTGCAGCCAAGGTTCAGGATATGGTATATTTACTAGATAAATACCAAGTATATGGCTATTGACCTAGTAAATACTTTAATTCCCATCAGCAAAGATATTCAAAAGCAGTTCACATTCACATGGCACTGACAGAGATGCATTTCAGTGTCTCACCTTAGAAGTTTGTCAGTTCTCTTTCTCTTTGTTATAATACTGTTTGGGAGGACATTGTTTGCCTTACTACCTAGAGTATTACACCAATCCATTGAGTTCATGGTAGTTATACTAACTAAATCTATTGAGCAGGAAGTAGCAAGTGCCCTGCATATTTTAGTAAGGCACTTGCATGCCCAAGGACAAAAGATCGAACTCATGGAAATTCAGAAACCTGCAATACTGGTGAAGTGTCTAGTGTCCACAGTTCTTGGGTATGACAATAATTTATCTCTAAAACTAGACACCTATTGCTTCAATTTGTACAGCTCATGAAGAAACAAAATGGAGCTAATCTTATGGGGCATCTGGATTTTGGAGGCAACACAAGCTGCGTTTGGTTCTGTGTACCAATCCATTAACCAGCCCACAGTTTTAAGAGAGGCATGGAATGATAGAAGTCTCCTCTTAGAAACAGCTCTAAGGTCCAGTGTAAGCTACTTTTCATTTGAGATGCCCGTGACAGACACAGATGTTATGTGGTTTTCTAAGAAGCTCTCATAACCCCAGGATTTTGGTGTAAGACCATACACTCTGCTACCAGCAAGTACTTTTTGGGCTTGCTTCTGGCAATTCTAATGAAGACTGAACACCTGGCCATGTCACCTGAAGTGACTTTGATCCTAAAACCAATATCATGAAGTAAGCATCGTCTTTTGCAATCATAAGGTTGTATGTGCACAGCAGAATTCCAAGTTTCAATGGAAATCGTATGTATAATGCAATCTGAGAACAGACATGAAAGATACAAGTAAACCTCATAGCCTGGTGCCTCAGTGCTCTCATGATACCTGTGCCTTCCCCTTTACTGCCTCTTGCTCCCTCAATCATTACACCAATTCAACAACCCAAAGTGAAATGAGAACGAAAATAGTTAAATACATAGGAATTTCATTGCCACTTTTGTCCAGTTGCAATCTTTGGCATCACAGGGAGTTTCCAATGATCAGTTAACAGAAGAGGAAAAGCCCTGCTATAGAGATGGCTCTACCTGTTACACTGATACCAGCAGAAAGTGAATGTCAAATACAACTTCAGTTAAAAGTGGCACTCAAAAGGGTAGTGAAAGGAAAGCCTCTCAGTGAGTACAACTTCAGATTTTATATCTGGTTGTGTATTTTGTGTATAAAGTTAAATTACTTGAAATAATCTCCAATGACCCCTAGACCATGGTTAAAGGGGTAGTCATGTTACTACAGTCTTAGCAAGGATAAGAAAACTAGCAACAAGAATATTTTTGGAAGAAGCAGGTTGGTTGGCCCTTTGGAAGTGGGCGAAGGATAGAAAGAAATTTGTTTCATGCAAATGCTTAACAGAAAGCATTCTCTGCCGAGGAGTTCTCAGTAATCAGGTGGAAAAGGTAACACAGAATGTGCCTGTCAATCAAAGCTACCCACAATTACATAATGGTTCATGAACAAAGTGATCATGGCAGCAGGATTAGACGCTTTGTGTAGGGTCAACAAAATAGAATACTACCACCAAGGTTGTTGGGTTATTGCCCCTGCTGAAGGCTCAGTTTTTAAAGGAGAGACGGTTACTAATTATCCTTTATGGCACTATTCCATGAAGAACTAGCCATCTACCTGGTGGCAAGTTGATTACAGCAAACTCTTTTAATTATGAAAAGAGAAGTCCTTGGTTTTACACATGTTAATAGAGATTTTCCTTTATTTTCTGCAACATTTCTACCAGAATTACTATTCATCGACTTTCGAAAAGTCTTGTTAATTACTACTAACACATACCTCATTATATAGCAATAGAAAGTGCAATAGGGAACTCACACCCATGAAATTTATTGGTATTGCCAGGTATCTTGTCACTGTGGAACAGCTGGCTTGATGGAATAATACAATGACCTACTGAAGGCTGCATTGTAATCCCAGCTAGGAGACAACATTTGTTGCTTTTGGGTTGTTGTCTTAAAGAATACTGTTTGAACCTCTAATCCACAAGCAATATATTGTGCTAGTGACGTCACAATAAGAACTGAGAAACACAGGACAGAGGTAGGGTCAGCCCCTCTCATTTTCACATTAATAGACCACAGAGAAATGTTTTCCTTCCTATTCCCAGAAGCTTGAGCTAATAGAGTTTGAAGGTCATAGTGACCTAGAGCACAAGGCTTTCCCTAGAGAATATCTCCATTGTTTCATCAAATTGTGTATAGGGCAGCCCACATGGGCCATCTGGGCTCCTCATACTGTTGAAGAAACAAACAGTAAATGTAGATGTACATAATGTTTTTTGTGGGTGTATAATATAGATATATGTAAATGTAAAAACAAATGCAAATTGTATATTTTGCATATATATGGTATAAGTATGCCTTGGAAGAAAAAAAAAAGAAATGTGTCCATATGAAGCCATTTGATTAAATAAGTTTTAAGAACAAAAGCCATGAAATTTGACCACAAATAACCTGTATCCCAGTGGGTTCTACAGTTTGATCTGGCTCTGAACAACTTACTTAATCACTTTTTAACTTGGTCTCCTAGACTCAAAATGAAACAACAAGCATAGATATCTCATACACACATTAAAAAGACTAAAGGGCATAATTTATATAAAATCATAATTCATGTGAAGTGCTCAGCACCTCTTTCAAGGAAATACTCAATAAAAATGATTTATTATGCTCATATATTTATAGAGATATATTTATGCACATGTATGCATATACATATCAAACATAGATAATAGATTAAACAGAGTGACCATTTATCATATGTTTTTTGAATATTTTATTTCTAGGAAAATCACAGTGAAATTGTAAACTGTCTGTAATGCTTTTTGATGTAAAATTTACAGTTTAAAAAATGACAGTCATGAAAGCAACAAATTGTTTTGTACATATGTAATTTATTGTTTGAACAATGTCATGAGAAACAGCCAAATACATTGATGTTTAAGGGATTAAAATTTTAAACCTTTAATATATGCTTAACTATTTTATATTCCTTGTATTATCCCCAGAATGATGTTTTATTCTGCTCTCTGGATTCTTGCGAAGTATTAGTAATGATGTTAAAATTATCATTCCTAAATGGTTCCCTAGGTTATACATTTTGTCAGCCCTCAGCTTTCAACCACATTTTCTCATAGGCTTACAATTTATAGTACAGAATTTGCTAGGAATGCGTCTGGGACCATTTTTCTTAGTACTTAGATGACTTGTTTTAAAATTTAGGTTGAAATTGGTACAGATTGTGTTTTAGTAAATCACTCGCCTTAAATGTCATTACTAGGATGACAACTCTCTCAGCCCAGCCTCTAACTCACAGACTGCCTTGATATGGGGATTATAGGGCTATAATTAATCCTCAGGCAAATTGAAATACCCATGATCATTTCGTGGGATGTTTTTTAGCTGTATAATTCCTCCCACACTGGTGCTCAATCTGTGCGTTTTCCAAATATGCTTGCCAGAGAAGAGACACTGCTGAAAACAAGCTCAAAATAGACAAGGGAAAGGGAAAGCAAGAGAATTTAAAAGTTTAATGAGATCCAAAATAAGTTAATGGGGTTAGGGAATTTTTTGCCAGTTTTTAGCCAATTGCAATTAATCAACTTGGCTATTAATAAGACTGAAAAGAAAAAAATTTATTTGGCTCCTTTAGGGCACATAAACACAGAATGAATTTTTCCAGGAGTTAAAGACCATTAAAACTGAAAGAAAACTTAGATATTAAATGGTATAAAATCTTTACTGGGTAGGTGTAAATACTAAAAATTAAATATATGAAGAGATTTTTAAAAATTCTTTTCAAGTTATTAGTAAAATAAAGAATAAACTCTGGTTGTTTTCTTTCCAGTGGGCCACACAATATATTACATGCCAGATATATATTCTGCCCTGGTTTTGCCATAGCTTAACATTTGTAATGCTGATTTCAAGATACAGGATTAAATTAACTTCAAAAAGTGGTAGTGGGGATGAAAAGCCTTACTTGTGGTATAATGTCTACTAATAAATGTAAAAGGAATGATGGAGGCAGTAAAATCACCATTTAGCAAGCACAATAGTAATAATTGATTTAGGCCAAAGTCATCAGCAAATGTTAAAGCCATTTGGTACAAAGTCTGATGGGAACAGGATATTTCAACAGCCTCAAAGTATTTCTCCAAAGATTGTTAATTCATGATGCAGAAAAACGGTGAGTTTACAGTGTAGAAATCTGACAGATACCATCTGTCCTAATCCATTTTGTGCTGCTATAAGAGAAGACCATAATCTGAGTAATTTACAAAGAAGTTTGTTTGGTTCATGGTCCTGGAGGCTGAGGAGTCTAAGAGCATGACACTGGCATCTGGCTAGGGTGTTCCTATGGCAGAAGGGGGAAGGGCAAGGGACTACACGACACAGAGAGTAAAGGGAGGGTGAACTTATAACTTCACCAGAAGCCCACGCCCACAATAGCAGTATTAATCCGTTCATGATGGTAGAGCTCTCATGACCTAATCACCTCTTAAAGGTCCCACCTATTCCACAGCTGCATCGGGGACTAAGGTTTCAACTCATGAGCTTTGGGAATACATCCAAACCGTCAAGCCATAGCACGACAATAGTCCAGTGATTAAAATTAACATTCCAAGAGTGGGACAAATATTTGTCTCCTGATGTGGTGGGCTGAGAGTGCATAACTCACATGGTATTTCTGCCAACAATAAAGCAACAAAAACCTCAATCTAGTCATAAGGAAGCAATCAGAAATCCACAAATGAAGGGACAGTTTGAAACTACAATTGATGTGTACTGCTGAAAAAACATACATGTCATAAAAGACAAAGATTGAGGAGGTATTCCAGAAAATGGTTAAGGAGGCATAGTAGGTTAAAAAAAATAGTGATGTTAGATTGCATCTTCAGTTGAATCCTTAATAGGATATTTAGTGAAATATGAATATGGAGTTTATAATATGTAATACTATTAGATCATGATAAATTGTCTTTTTAATTTTTACAACAAGGCTGAAAATTAATTGATTAACTATACGAAAAGAAGAAAAAGGAATGTCTCTTGATAACTGAAAATTGGACTTTGTACTGTGAGCACTACTTATGTAGAAAATAGTATCACAACACTCTTAGGATTAATGAGCCCAAGTCCATTAGTTCAATATTTTGAACAAAGAAACTTAAGAAAACTAATTTAGGGAAGATCTATTTTATATATGAATGTTATATAAAATAGAATGACACAATACTGAAGAGAACTTGCATTTATGATATATTTTCTGAATCTGATACTTATATTGTAGATAGTTTTGACGATGGCCTTGTTATTAGGAGACTGATGATGAAGTCTACACAGTTGAAGGAATTTGATGTCTGCCACTTACTTTCTAATGAGTTGGCAATGATAAAACAATGAGAATGATACTACAAAAAAGGAGATTAAGGAGGAGGAAGGGGAAGAAAAGAAAATTAAAAACAACATTCAGAGAGAAAGAGAAATAAACAATTAATACATCTCAATGAAGGATACACAGTGGTTCATTGTACCACTTTTGTAACTAGTCTGTACTTTTGAAATTTCTTTAATAAGAAGTATACAATTTATTTTCATCATTTTAATGAGTATTCAACTAAAAATGTCTACTGACATTACTATACATAAATATTATACAGATGGCTTCTGTTCCCTACCTACCACACCGCACTTGCCACTCACTCTCTGGAAAAAGCTAGTGCTAGAAATAGAAAAGGAGATGCTGCCATTATAAAATCCTCACTGTGCTGGGAGTTGGAATGTGACGTACTTGTTATAAATCCTATAAAGTTGGAATGATCATATTGTTGGCCAATTTAACCTAAATCTCATTAACTATCTAAGTCACTTGAGATAGAGCCAAATCTGTTTATAATGATTAAATTTTTTAAATGCCAGAAAAATCAAAAGAAAGAAAACAAAGGGAATGGGTAAAAGAAACCAAAGAGGAAATAATAAAGTTCAAGTGTGTTTCTAGTGGCATCGAACTGCTTTCAATCTTGCCAATACGTTGTTCAAATTAGCCATAAGCTTCCCAGGGCTAACTACCTTTTTCAATTCATATGAAAAATACCCATCCTGTTTTTTATTCCTTCAGAGACAGCAATATTTGTTTCATGTTTTTCTCTTCTATTTATTTTTTATTTTTAGAGAGAATCTCAGAGTGCATGCAGTGGCATGAACACAGCTCACTGCAGCCTCCAGCCCCTGGGCTTCAATAATCCTCCCACCACAGGCTCTGGAGTAGCTGAGACTGTGGTTGCATGATGCCACAACTGGCTAATTTTTTTTTTTTTTTTTTTTTTAAGATATGGTCTTTCTCTGTGTTTTCCAGCCTCATCTTAAACTCCTGGCTTTAAGCCATCCTCCTGCCTCAGCCTCCCAAAGAACTGGGATTACAGGCTACAGGCATGAGCCACCATGGCCAGGCAGACAGAGCAGTCTTGATTTTAAAGAAGCAAAATAATTTATTTATTTATTCAGCCAATTTTATTGAGCATCCACTCTGCACCTGGTACGATGCTACATGTCAAACGTGTGTGTGAGCACTGCTTTAATCAGAAGCCCAGCACACTGGCAGACATGAAGTTTGAATAAGCAAGAATTAGACAAGATTATAAATTAGGGGTGGAGTCAATCAGATTGGGTAGAGAACATGGGATACAATCCTACAGAAGGAAAGAGTTTTATGTGCTCAAGAAAACGTTAGGCCTCCATATTTGGAAGACACGGAGGTGGGGGTAACAGAATCAAGTGATTCTGGATAAGTAGGTTCCACCCCCGAAGACTCCAGCCACGCTACCAGAGCATTATTAACTACATTAAACATAGGATTCTATCCCAAATACAGTAAGTATCTGTTAAAAGTTCTGGGGTAGCCTAGTGAGACGAGTGAATATGACTATATTTAGAAAGCTGCACAATGCCACGTGAAAAAGGAGTGAGAGACTCTCTGTGGAAACAAAAAGGGGGTTGCTAGGGTACAGAGAGAAAAGTGGCATGGAATGGAGAGAGTGACAGTGAAAGTCGACTGACAAGAAACGTATTTTGGAGGTAACATAAAGAGAACTCAGTAAGGTGGAAGGCGAAAAGGACGACGATGTAAACGGCTTCCCAAGAAGGGGTTGAAAAGGCATTGCATGGCCGGGCGCGGTGGCTCACGCCTGTAATCCCAGCACTTTGGGAGGCCGAGGCGGGTGGATCATGAGGTCAGGAGATCGAGACCATCCTGGCTAACAAGGTGAAACCCCGTCTCTACTAAAAATACAAAAAATTAGCCGGGCGCGGTGGCGGGCGCCTGTAGTCCCAGCTACTCGGGAGGCTGAGGCAGGAGAATGGCGTGAACCCGGGAAGCGGAGCTTGCAGTGAGCCGAGATCGCGCCACTGCACTCCAGCCTGGGGGACAGAGCGAGACTCTGTCTCAAAAAAAAAAAAAAAAAGAAAAAGAAAAGGCATTGCATGTCTAACAATACCTCTATTCTCCCCTCATTTGACAGATTTGTTGGGCAGAAAATTCCAAGATGAAAATTATTTTCTGGCTGGCCGTAGTGGCTCATGTCTCTAATCCCAACACCTCGGGAGGCTGAGACAGGAAGACTGCTTGAGCCCAGAAGTTAAAGACTACCCTGGGCAACGTAGTGAGACCACATGTGTACAAAAAATAAAAATAAAGATAGTCAGTATGGTGGTGGGTGCCTATAGTCCCAGCTACCGGGAAGGTTGAGCCTGGGGGATTGCTTGGACCCAGGAGGTTGAGTCTGCAATGAGCCATGCTTGCGCTAATGTACTCTAGCCTGAGAAACAGGACAATATCCTATCTCGAAAAAAATGATCTTATAACTTGAAGGACATACTCCATTGTATTCTGGCTACCAGTGTTTTTGAAGTATGGGGAGTGTGAATTAATTTTAATTTCTCTTCCAATTTAAGTGGAAGTGAAGTATGAATTTATTTTTTATTTTTATTTCTTTAAAGGAAAATTAAATTTTCTCTCTGTAAGCTATTAGAGTCTTATTCATCCTCAGTATTTTCAGATTTCACAAAAATGTGCTTTTATTGAGATCATTGAATTCATTTTGCTGGGTTCTGGATGCGCAATTTTAATATGGCATTTTTAAGTTATTCCATTCTAGCAATTTTATGTAGTATTTTCTTGATTAATTTATCTCCTTAATTACACAAACACACAAGTAGGGTTTTGGATACAATAGATCAAAACTTATTTTATTGCGTTCATATATTTTAACCATTTTTATTTTCTTTTTATTTTTATACTAATTCAGACAGTTTTTCTTAACTTTATCTTTTCACCCTTGTAATCAGTCGCCAATTCTGCTATTTTTATTTGAAACTCCCACAACATCTTTTATGTGCTATGATTTTTTCCTACTCTTGCTATCTTGTTTTTATTTGGTAAATGCAAAATCTCCTCTTAATCTTCTCGGCTGATCAATTATAGATTTGTTTACTCTTATGGTTCTCATGCAGCCCTGGATTTTATCTTTAAATTTTCTAGCTTCATTTCCAGTCCTGAAATCTGTCTGGCACCTTGAACCAAGGAGGCTGTGGTTTTTGCCTAGCACTATTTGTCCGCAGTTGTGGCTACAAAAATTGAGTAGAAGTGTCCTGGGAAGTCACAACTTTCATCTCTTCCTTCTTCCAAAATCATTTCTCAAGTTCCAAGAACTTAAGAAGTTGTCAAGTTCAATCTCCCTTCTCCTCCTTGCTTTAGGATATTTATTATACCTGGCCATCTACATAGGAGTGTGTGTGGGTGTGTTTGTGTGTGTGCATGTGTGTAACATGTGTGTATATATATATGTATCTAAATATAGATATAAAGGTGCTATCTATAGCATATTCAAATAAGTATTTTTACAGTGTATTTATTTTGTAATTGTTCACATTACTACTTCACGTTTCCACCATCACCAGAAGCCTGACATGCTTTTGAGAACAGATGATCCACACTTTTGGCTTGATTTTCTAGTCATCTTTGTGAAATGACATGGCAAATAAAGTTTAAAAACTCTCCACCAATTTGTGCTATCTATTCTTTGAAAGGATGAAAGTCAAGAAGGAAAAATGGGTTCTTATTGAATTCAAGCTTGCTCTTTGCCTGGAGTCATCTGCCAGAAAATAAATTAAGGCTAAATTAAGTAGTATTTAAAGGATAAATTGTTATCGAATATCAGTGAGAGGATTGAGCAGGTTAAAAGTCAGTTGATCCTTTCCCATAAAGATTGAAAGTATTTTCACCTTTTTTGTGTTTTGTGTCATGCTATCAGGGCTACGATGGGAGCACATGGTGTGTTTAATCCATTGATATGAGCGTTTGTCAGATGGAGATGTCAATGTTTTATGTTTACTGAGAAAATCAGGTTACAAAAATGCTTCCCAGAATGGATTTCACTAACATTATTCATCATATTACTCAAGTGTTCCCCTGGAAACGCTAGATATCTGTGTTTCATTTTCTTTTATGACCAGTCTTCCATTTTGTAGCAAAGAACTATTACAAATTGACATTTACTTGTATTTTGAGGATTTATAGAGAATGTATAATCCCCCAATAAAAGAAAATGAGCCACTTTCATGGTGTATTTTAGTCTGTTTTCCTAATGTTTGAATTTCAGACAATATTTTAAAGCTTGATGACTTTAAACTTTTTATCTTAACAAAAAAACATTTTTCATCGTTAAAAATAAAACCAGTTTAGTGTGTATATTTTCTTCTGGGCTAATCAGAGCCATAATTACTCAAAATAGTAGCATTACTAACAATTTATTTCTAATAAAATGTTTCAAAATAATAGTCATTTTTATTTTTATATTATTAAGTGAGTATCACAAAATTTTAAAAAGCTATTGGAGTTGTTTCAGCTGGCAACAAATCTATCATTTCTGATCTCAGCATTTCACCCCATGTGGCAACTGCATCGTTCCTGGCTGTAGTCCTAGGTTCATGTAATTTAAAACTTTATATTAATTTGCTAATCATCTGATGGTTTTTTTTAGTATTTCCCAATCATATATTTGAATTCTTTAAACTAAGATGTTCCTAGTTTATTTTAATGTGCATTTCTAATTCCTACTTTTACTTTTGTTTTTAATATTATTTTGTTTCAGATGTGTTTTTAATTTCTGGGTCCAACCTAAACATTAGAAACATCTAATCTATTTATTTTCACCCAATTTTTAAAAAGTTATACTCTCTTAAATCACTTCTATTTTCTTCTATTATTTTTTGAAATCATCAAATTTTAGAATCAGAGGTCATCTTCATGACCATAACAAATCAGGAAATATCATACATGTGACAACACATATGCGAAATCCAAGCCTCCAATCTGTTTCTTGGGCACTGCACATTTACAGTGTTATCAGCATATACATTTATCTTTTCAGAATGATGCCTCACGAAAATTTATTGCAGGCTATACAGAGATAGGTATTCTTTGGAATTCCATCATGCCATATTATATGCTGCAAAGAGTGAGGTAAATAAAATGTGGCTGAAGGGAAGTGGAACAAGCCCGTGCGTGCATGTCATTTCGGAGTAAATAATTCTACAGTCAAAAGCCCAGCCTGTCCACAGGCAAGTCCTGAGTTCACAGCCCAGGAAAGCAGTCTTACAAGGATTGCACCATCTGTTGCCTAAGAAAAGCTAGTGTTTTACTATTTGTTGGTTTGTTAATCAAAATTTTAATTCACGTATTCATTTTTTGTGTAAAAGAACAGATCGTAGGGTGGAGGGTCAAGGTAAGAAAGCAATATAGAAATGTGTATTAAAACTTCTAAAAAATGTTCTAGCAATGGAATATCTCTTTGACCTAAGAAATACAGATGGATCAATTAAACTGTCAAACTCTATGTTGCATGAAGAGAAATAAAAGAACAGCAACCATCAAGACTGTCTTGTAGGCTGAAAGAAAATTATGGCCAGATTAAACCCCACCACTGAGGTTTAGATTAATTTCTAGTTACCCTGGCAGGCCATGGCCCAGGGCAAACCTGAGTAAATTCCTACTCTGTGAACCACCTCTCAGGTTTTGTTCATGGAGAAGGCTACACTTAGCCTCTGATGCCAGTAGAATGGTATACGATTGATTTGACTTGTGTTTTGCCCATATCCTGATTTGTTATAGTCATTATGATGACCTCTAATGCTAAAATTCTAGGATTCTAAAACCAATTTTAAAAATAGAAGGGGGCTGGCCACGCTGGCTCAAGCCTGTAATCCCAGCATTTTGGGAGACCGAGTTTGCAGGATTGCTTAAGGCCAGGAGTTTAAGACCAGCCTGGACAACATAGTAAGACCTCATCTCTACCAATAAAATAAAATAGCCAGACATGGTGGCTCATGCCTGTAGTCAGTCCCAGCTTCTCTGAAGGCCGAGGTGGGAGAATCACTTGAACCCAAGGGTTCAAGGCTGTAGTGAGCTTTGATGGCAACACTGCATTCCAGTAGCCTGGGTGACAGAGACCCTGTATCTTAAAAAAAAAAAAAAAAGGATTCAAGGGAGTACGACTTTTAAAGAAATTGATGCAAGAAAATGAATTAGATATTTCTTGGCTAAATTGGACCTAGAAATTTGAAACATATCTCAAACTTGCTCTTACCTGCCAACTGTTAGGAAAAAATATATATATATATGAGTGAAACGGAGGGAGAAGATTACCCATGGTGAAGCATGCTACCAGGGGCTACAGATATTTTTAATCAATATTAGTGGTATCTTAGACAAAAAGTGTCTGTTGCCAAGCCATGTTAATTAATGATTTTTAAATAGCTATTATTCATCTTTCGTTGTCGCAATAGCATTTGGTTTATGTTGACCTATATTAAAACTTGGTCTCTGTGGTTGGAGTCCAAGTACCATAACATACCTCTATGTTTGTAGTGTCACTTGAGTTTTAGAAGTAGGTGGACATTGGCTGTTTCTGTATGTTTGAACCTAAAATCAGAATAAAGTGTGGGTATGCCTTGGATAGAGGTGTTGCCTATGCTCTTTTCCTCCTTATAGTGTATGTGATAAGGAAACATGACCCCAGCCTCAATTCCCAGGGTAGTCTCTGCATAGGCTGAGCAAACCAGAGCAACCTCATGAACTCTACCAGGAGTGGTTCATAAACTCAGGCCTATGCCAGGCAATGCACAGCCATCCCTTGGTGTATCTGATTGGTCCAAGGGTGGGCATGTGACCTACATTGGCCTAAACTATCTGAACAGAAAGACTTTTATTCTGTGGTTAGGAGAAGCAGTTTTCTGAGTGTTATAACTCTTTATACTAGAAAAAATCTTTCCACCTCTTTGGTTTATTCATTTCAGATTTTTGGCATAATTAAGAGTTCCAGCTAATTGTTTTTATAAAACGTTCCACATTCAGGATCTGTCAATTATTTCTCATAATTAGATTCAAGTATGTGTTTTTTGGCAGCAGTACTCCATACGTAATTATGCATACTTCTGTGAAGTTAAGGAGTCACCAATACCACACTCAGGCTTGATAATTTCCTAGAAGGACTCACATAACTCACTGGAAGCTGTGATACTCGCAGTTACAGTTTATTACAGCAGAATTATATGAATTGAACTCAGCCAAGGGAAGAGGTGCATGGAGCAGAGTCCAGGAGATTCCCAGGTATGCAGCCGCCCTCTGCCAGTGGGATTGTGGGCAGTGCTGTCTCCAAGAAATGATGGGTATGATTTACGTGGAGCGCTGCCAACCAAAGAAGGTCCCAAGCCTTGTGTCTAGAGTGGCCACATACACATCATCGACAAACACCTGCTTGGCTCATCTTTAGAGTCCAACCCCTCCCAACATTGAGGTGACACTGCATGGCCCAAAGCAACACCCAAAATCACACTGTTAGACAATCTGGTGTGGACCAAGACTCCCAGGTACAAAAGACACTTTTATCAGACAGGACATTCTGAGAGCTTAGAGATGACCTCCTGGGTGGCAAAGGCAAAGCACAGGCCTCTCTTTGGGAAAGTTTAGCTTTTTTACTACTATCCATGTCCCTCGGCCAAGGTTCTTTTACAACAAAACAACCATATCTGTTTGAGCATCTACATTTAGTGTAACATTGATATCAATAGTATCCATCTGAATATGGCTAACATTTGGAGAAATCAGTATTGGGCAAGAACAGATTTGTAGAAGCAATTAATTCATCCTATAAAGCCATGTCATAAATTTTCATTTTTTTGTAATAATTTGATAACTCATTGTTCTTCTCTATCTATTGCTATTTGAACTTTACAACAAACTCATTCATAATTACTTAGCATAGAAATTAGATGATGGTTAGCTAAATCCAGCTTTTCCCCAGGCCAGTCATTTTTTTATTGGTATTTTCTCCTGTGAAGGCTTTAATTGTATTTCCCAATACATTTTATTATCAATATCTGTATCAGACTCTTACCAGCAAAACCAGTGTTATAATATATCACACTATGGTAGTAAATGTAACTTGAAAAGTAAGTCAAAAGCTACTGGTCCATTGGTAGAGTCTTACTCCATTTTTAACAATCACTCCAGTTTCTCGTGATATTACATAGCCACAGCATCTCCCAGACAGATGCCACCCAGATTCTAGGCTTCCATTTCACCTTGTCAATTCCAGGATCAGGAGTGCTCGTAACAACATATGGTCTCACCTTTTCAGACATCCAGGATAATTGAGCTAAAAGACAATATCATCTCATGATCAGAACCTCTCAGGAGACATCAATATAGTATTAGATTTGCCTCACTGCCTAACCCAGTTATTCCTTCTTTTCTCCTTTATCATTACATTTACCCAAACATCTGTTTTTGGAAGGATCATTGAATTCGATGACTGTGCTGGTCTAGATAGCCTGCAGTAATTCCAATCTAGCAAGTCCACTCAATCCATGCTCAGTAGTGTACATTAGGGTTACAGAGGTACAGAATTAGCGAGCTATTTCAATCAGACAATATTGCTATATTCTTTGTCAATCCCAGTTTTCCCAGAAGGGATCAATGCACAGTCCACCCCATCAGTCCCTTAGAATTCTAGTATAAAATAAAAATATAGTTTCAGTTTCTTGCTACAGGATAATCCATGCTGCCAGCATCCAGATTTGCAGCCCTAGTCTCAGGACCACTGCATTAGGTAGAAGAAAAGAAAGTTGAGGTGATGTGGGAAATAATTGTATAATCATGCCAACATTTTTCCCACCCCCTCTTCCCAAGATCACCCACAGAGTTGGAGGGATCTATCTAGTAGGAACCTTCCCTTCCAAACACTTCATGTTGAGTGTGAACACACACACAAGAAGGCATGTAAGCTAGCCCTGCATCTCCTTCTGACAACTTCACTCGTGACACCAACTACAGAGTTAAGGAGTTTCCAAGAGGACTCTCACTTCTGACACCAATTGAAAAATGTGGGAGTCCCAAGACCATCTCACATCTCACAAAATTTGTAAATTTGGGGTCCTCAAGACCACCCTTGGAGTTGAATAATTTCCTAGAAAGATTCACAGAACTCCCTGAAAGCAGTTACATTCATGGTTATTATGTATTATAGCCAAGTGATCCAGATTAAAATAAGCCAAGGAGAGAAGTTCATGGGACATACTCCCAGAATATCACCGGTTCTTGTCATTGGGATTGCCTCAACGAAAGATTTTTAAACTTTACTAATACACTGGGCTCTCTTCCTCAGGTGAGAGAAAGTTTGAAGCTGGTACCTGAATTTCCTACTTAAAGCATCTATGAGAAAGAGTAAAGCCAGATGCTTTGTAATAAGTGTCATGAGAGTAGATGGAAATAGCCCAATACAGTATGCAGACAAACCAAAGGGCACGTGTTAAGACATTTAACACTTGTAGTTGTGACATTTCAGGATACAGAGAGTATTTATGGAAGATACCATGACATTCAGATGAGGAATTAAGAGCTGTATCCTTGAGTGAGAAGATACTGCTGTGAGGTCGTGAGTCAGTCTCAGCTAGACAGTCTCATAACATCCTTACTAGCTAATAAGGTGAAGCACAGATGTTACTGCCACAGCTGTTGATTTAATTTGTCTCAATGTCTTTAATCCATTTGATGATCGGTGAGTAAGGAGGGAATTCACTGACTCCCAGTGAAGTAACAATCATGCACGTATTCATTGGTAGTTTAAGGTTGGGGCTGGAGAAGGAGTCAGTGGGGAAAGAATAGATTGAAAACCCTTCCTAGCAATTATTGACTCAGAAAGTCATAGGGCCTGGAGGGACTCCTACCATGGCACCAGGAGGCCAAGACTCCACCTATAGACCTTCATCCAGGTGCCTCAACTTTCAAACCAGCATGACATAGCAATTTATCCAGTATAAGATTATGTCTGGGCCGAGCGCAGTGCCTCACGCCTGTAATCCCAGCACTTTGGGAGGCCGAGGCGGGTGGATCACGAGGTCAGGAGATCGAGACCATCCTGGCTAACACGGTGAAACTCCATCTCAATTAAAAATACAAAAAATTAGCTGGGGGCGGTGGCGGATGCCTGTAGTCCCAGGTACTCTGGAGGCTGAGGCAGGAGAATGGCGTGAACACAGGACGGGGAGCTTGCAGTGAGCAGAGATCATGCCACTGCACTCTGGCCTGGGCGAAAGAGTGAGACTCTGTCTCAAAAAAAAAAAAAAAATTATATCTGCAGGCACCTTGAAAAACTAGATGGATTTCCCTAACTGTGGAAGACCTCAGCATTGAAAGCAAAATATGAAATGGTTTTTAGCATAGGGCATTAATAAGTCTTTCCAGTTTCATTACTGAATCGAAACAATTTGGACTTGCCTGACACAGACAGACTCAATGTGTCCAGATAAGCAGAGGATAATGGTATCTCAGCACCTATCTACTCAATCATGTCTGACATTCACTTTTGCTTAAGCTCAGTTTTCCATGAAGTGCAATATCCTTTTACCTCATTTAATTTCAGCTCAGATCTTGTTTGTTGTTTTTTTTCTAATAATAAAGGCCATATAGGAGACAGACAAAGAAAAGAAAAGAGAAAGGATTTATTAGTCAGCTACAGTCATAATAATGTACAAAAAAATCCCCACAAAATTGGCTTATAACAATAAGCATATGTTTTTATATTGTGGGTCTTCAAGTAGAGCACTATTTGATCCAGCTCATGCCTGACTGGACAACTCTTGTCTGAGCTGCTGGTTCAAGGACTGGCTGCAAGCTATGGACCTGATTCAGATCTGCTCCACGTATGCTTGTGGTGCATTAGGACCGAAGGTGGTGTAGGACCGAAGGTGGTGTAGTATCCAATTAGGCATTTTCTTCCCATGGCACACCATCAGAGCACAAGAGCCAAGCCATACCATGCAAACGCATGTACATCCTCTGCTTATACCACATCTCCTAACGCTGCATTGGCCAAGGTAAGTTACATGGTTACACACAACAGTGGTTTGGAGAGGTATACTCTGCCCAGAGTGGAAGGTGCCAGGAATGAATATTAGCTGCACAATAACCGAAATTATCACCAAGGAAAAATGAGAGTGGAAAAACATTAAATACTCATCTTAAGTAGGTCCCGAAGCTGGCAATCAATAACAGAAAAGCAATGTCCTACCTCATTCCTTGGAAGAGATAGGAGCATGTTCATCGTTAGCTGCTAATAAAATTCTTTTGATAAAAGGAAGTACCTTTATGCCGTTTCAGGTATTATAAGATTTAAAAAGTGGAAAATCCAGTTATATTTGTTTTATCAATAGGCTTGGGGCCTCTGTGAGTTTCAAGTGGTGGTTTACATTGAGAAATGTATGATTTGATTTTATATTATCAGAAACTGATAGGATTCTATAATTTTAGAAGATGCCCAGCTACCAAAAAAAAAGTCTTATTTCATTTAGTGCGGTTGGGTTCATCTTTCCAAATTGTACAACACCTTCCGAGACTACCATAGGTCCTAACATAGATTTCTTCCCCATTCAAATTTCATTTATTCCTCATCCTCCTGTCAAATGTCATTGGCATTAGTATTTTTATATTTAAATTAGGTATTTATGAATAAGAAAGCACCATATACTCATAGTAAAGTGTTAGAAAATGTGGCATACATAAAGAAAAAATATTAGGTCATGTAATTAGTGATTTGCCACTTGTGTTTTGCTATGTTCATTTCTAGTTTTAGTTATATAGACACATACACAAACACACACACAAGCACACAATTTTTCAAAGCTTCTTGGCCCTCAGTTGGCTATTCAGCCAAAAAAATCATTTATTTCTTAAATTCTGGAATATTTTCAAGCATGTTTTTTCTTTCAATATGACTGCTTGCCCATTGTATCTATTTTCTCCTTCTGGATCTCCTAAAAGATATATATTGGGTCTTTTTGATTTTTTTCCCATGTTTCTCTAATTTCTTGTTCATTATTTCTGTTTGTTGTGCCAAAATGACTCTTTATGGCACTCATTGAAGTTTGTATTTTTGTGGTGTTACTTTAAGATTTCAAGCTGTTTTTTTTTTTTTTTTTTTGATGGAGTCTCGCTCTGTCACCAGGCTGGAACACAGTGGCACAGTCTCAGCTCACTGCAACCTCTGCCTCCCAAGTTCAAACAATTCTCCTACCTCAGCCTCCTGAGTAGCTGTGACTACAGGTGTGTGCCACCATGCCCAGCTAATTTTTGTATTTTTAGTAAATACGGGGTTTCACCATGTTGGCCAGGATGGTCTCTATCTCTTGACTTTGTGATCCACCCGCCTCAGCCTCCAAAAGTGCTGGGATTATAGGTGTGAGCCACCGTGCCAGCTCCCAGCTGGTATTTTTGTATATAGCTGTTGTTGTATTCATGGTTACTATTCTTTCCTTTACATCTTCGGATACTATGACTATTCTTGACTTAAAATCATTTTCACATTTTTCCATTGTTTCCATTCAGATATATATTCTGTACTGTTTTGGACTGTGTACTTTATTATATTAAACTCGCTAAGATATTTTATAATTTTTATTTTATGACACATATAACAGCAAAGTGTTCCCCTCCCAATGTGCTCAATTTTATTTAGGGTGATTTTAGAAGGGCCAAACTTTGCCCTCTGCAGTGCTGGTCTCTAGTCAAATTGTACCACAGAGGCTCCTCCTAGCTCTTACTCTGGGCAGTTACAGCAATATCAGATGTTCCCTGGGATCTGGAATTTCCTGGTACATTCATAGTTCCCAGTGAGTCACACCTCTCTGTATCCTTGCCCTTCTGCATTCCCTTCCAAAACTGACACAGCCCTGGCATTTGCTTTGGCAACAGGATATTAGCAAATGTGACACAAGCAGGCATTTGAAATGTGCTTGTGGATTGGGGCATGTTTTCCCTCTTGCTGCTCTTGAGCCTGACCATCATGACATGAAGCCAGCCCCAGCCTGCTGGAGACATGTAGCCCAGCAGACCAACAGCACCTTTATTAGACACAAAAATGTGGACCCCGGGTCATTCAGGCCCAGCTGGGCATCTGTAGCCAGCTGAGAGGCAACGGTGAGACCAGAGAGATCTCTACCTGAGCCTACTTCCAGCTGTCAGACACTAGGGTGTTGCTTTAAGCCACGAAGTTTGGAGTGGCTTTTAATTTGGTAACAGATAAGTGAAACACAGCTCTAACTTTGATGCCTTTATCACTCTCAGAAGCTGCCCATGGCCCTGTTAGTTCAGCCCTATTCAATGTTGATGTTCCTCTCCTGGATTCTGCTCCATGTAAGTCTTCCATTTTGAGATCTGCAGCCATCACAACAACAGGCATGCACGTGTGCTGTGTGTGTGCCTATGTATATAGGTGTGAGCATGCAGGTGTGAGCATGCAGGTGTGTGTATGCAGGTGTGAGCATGCAGGTGTGGATATTTGCTGTGGAGAAGAGCAGTTGCAGGTAGAGTTCACCTGACATCTTGACCCAGAAATAATTTCACATGTCTAAAACGAAAAAACATTATGCTCCACACAAAGTTTTTAACCCTGGTTTTTATTGTCACTTAGCATAGGTAATACAATTTGCCCCAAAGAATTGAATAGTATTAACATGGAAAGTATAATTTTCAACTTCTAGCTAATTACTTGATATGGATTAACATCTCCTTTTATTTATTATTTCTCTGTTATTGAAAGTCAAGTTTGTCTCCAAGCTTTCCTTATTAAGAACTGCCATCTGTGGGACATCTCTTTACATACACAGAGGTGCATTTGGGAAGCATTTTTTACCTTATTGACGTTAAATACTTGTTCACAGGGGTTTTCTCATGTTCCCTCCCCACCTCTGTACTCTAATGCCCTAATATTACCATAATGCCCAAAGTCACTTAGCCTTGAAAATCCCCAACTACAACTGATTTCAACACTTGATGCTTAGCATTGACTTATTTAGTCATCTTATTAATCGTCATCACTAATTTGTATACAATAAATCTTACCTGTCATATTAGAGTACAAACTTAGTGAGGGCATTGATAACGTCGTTTATACTTTCCATATTCCTTATAGTCCTTGAAGCAGCTGTATACTAACTACCAACTGTTTAACAAATATGTCATGTATCCTCTGCTTTGCACACCACTCTGGGGGGAAGAGTATTTCTCTGACTTTCATCCACTTGTCCTGCAGGTCTCCCTCACATTTTCCTACAAAGTGTTATTTGAATCCTTCAGAGATATTTTATGTTACAGATATGTTATGAGATTACAATGTAAACTACAAGCAACTTCCTCATAAGCCTTGCAATTATAGTCTTACATATTTCCTCATTTTATTCTTCTCAATTTAATGTTTAAAGCCATGCATTAACCCATGGCTTCCAAAGCATGCTCTTTGGGGGAAAATAAAATCTCGGTTTATTTATAGTTACTTACAAACTTTTCTACCATGAGTTAACTACATTTTTTTGGATTATAATAAATTTTACATAAAATATTTCAGAGAATTTAAATAAAAACATACACACTAAGCTTTGAGTAATGTATATATAATATATAAATCATAAAGAATAATATCTATAATACCATTTGTTAAGTACTTTGCCTATTAATAACATGGTAAAATTCCTATATCGTTCCTCATTATTTCAGATAAATTTGCTTTTTCTTCCTTCTTTCCCAGTCCTCCCAACTTGATCAATATTTGTAATGAAATTTAGGAATAATATCATTTATTACCAATTGGAATAATAAGCATATTTTAAAATAACATTTTCATATGCCTCATAGAAAGCATTCAGTGAAAAGTTAAATTAAACAGACATTTTGTCTTTCTTTCTTTCTAGGGAAACAGATCCCCTGAGTACTAATCCATGCAAGAAAACAAATGGAAGTAAATGTGGAAATCAAAGGGATAACTCAAGTTAAATCACCCATCCACATTTTCACTAACTATACAAACTGATGAGGTTATGCATTTAGCTAATATGCATGTAGCTAGCTACTTCTGATCAAGTTAATTTACCTGACAATCTCTTTTGTTATATTATTAAATCATGCTCACTTGCTGTGGCATAGTCTCTCCTAGTTACCACTACTTTTTTTTTATATCCCATGTATAAATATTACATTTTAATAAAAAACGCATGTCAAGAAACAAGCTCAATTCAGAGGCAACTGGGATTATCAGGAGATACAGTCATAAGTATGTTCCTGGTAACAAATCTAGTAAGGATTTTCAATCAAATCTGGCTTCTTCTACCACAGACACCTTTATTTACACAATATCTTAATTTATTACTTCAATTTACTTGCTGGTCTGTTTTATTTGTAGGCTTAGTCTAATTTTAACACTGTCAAGAATAATTCACAGAGTATCAGGTGAGTCTGCTTAGAAGAGGGAACCTACGTTAATCTTTTCTGACATTAATAGAATTGGACCTTATTAATTCTGACATGATTTATTTCATATCGTGTAAATACTAAATGCAAGCATCATGTTCTCATTGAAACAAGTGTTTTACATGCTTCATATACTGCAATTTGCAACATGAATTGAAAATGAGCCTTGAAAACCATTTGAAATGACTTAATTCTTGTCAAACTTAGAAAGATTATTACTGCCAAATGGGAAACACGAAATGCTGACAAACAGTGCTCCAGGACGTCACTGGGAAGAAAGAGAGCAAAGGCATGCACAGCCTGCGGGGCTTGCCAATATCACTCAGGCAGATATTCTTCTTACGTTAACAAAAATTATTCCCAATAGAGATACACCTGCTTAATGCATATTTATTTTTTTATTTTATGTACGGAGAACTGAAGTTCCAATACAATCATGTTTGAGTTTTGTTGTTGCTTTGTTTTGTTTTTGTTTTTTCATCAGGGAAGATATTCTCGAGTATAATTGTCAGGGACGATGCAACTTGGGTGTGCCTGGAGCGGGTAAGAAAAATGATGCAGGGACATGGATGAACCTGGAAACCATCATTCTCAGCAAACTAAAACAGGAACAGAAACACCAAACACCGCATGTTGTCACTCATAAGTGGGAGTTGAACAATGAGAACACATGGACACAAGGAGGGGAACGTCACACACCAGGGTCTGTCGGGGGGGCGTGGGGGGTGAAAGGAGGGACAGCATTAGGACAAATACCTAATGGATGCAGGGTTTAAAACCTAGATAATGGGTTGGTGGGTGCTCCAAATCTCCGTGGCACATGTATACCTATGTAACAAAACTGCACATTCTGCACATGTATCCCAGAACTTAAAGTACAATTTTTTTAAAAAGAGAATTAATTTAAAAAAAAAAAGAGAAGAAAATGAACCCACCTAATGCCTCTACTTCTGTTTACCTGAGTTGCAGTGTGTGTGTCCTATCATTTGTTAACTCATGAAAAAGTTAAGCTACGTTTTAGATTGTTTGCCTAGGTTTCTCATAATTTAGGTGAGCTTTTTAAAGAAATAGCCGAAAAGATTGGGGGAAAATTATTATTGCTCTTACTGTTAAACGGCAAAGCCAGATTTTAACTTCTCTTTTTACTAAGTTGGGCTGATGTCATCGGTCGGTTAGCCAGATGATTTAGGACAAACAGTTGGTTGACAGTCCGTTGGATAATTTTTAAAGCATGAGAATGCTAGGATTGCATTTTTAGGGGCCATGGTGTATCTACATCTAAGTTGCAGATGTGTGGAAATCCTTTGAACTACTTTCTAAGCACTATAAAATGAAAAGGAAATATTAATACTAGCTTCCTTCGAATGTAAGTGACTTGATCTCTGATGCGAAGGACTTTTTATTAAGAAACAGAAAGGATACTAGGTCTTTGTTCTTTTGAAACAAGAGCAAAGATGGCACTTCTTTTAAGCCTCAATTATTTATTTACAAGAAACATGGGGAGAATTATTAGACAAAGGTTTCAGATTTCTAGAAAAGTTTATTTTGTAGCTGTCAATTGGGGTGTGAATTACGTAGCTTAATATAGTATGTGGATAACTGGAAGAAAGTGAGAAGATTTGCTGCATTGTACATTTTATATAATATCCATTGTTAACTTGAACTAAAATACTTTATGCAAATTATTGAAACAGATAAATTCAAAATTATTTTTTGTAAATCATGGTTAACTTTAAGAAGTTTTTCTAAAATAACCATTCCATACATCAGTGGCAATTTTAATTTTCCTAAATTTGGTGGGAGTAGTAACGTTATGACGATGTAGTAATAACACCAAAAGCAGAAATAGTTCACCCGTTAAAAAAGTGATATCTGAAATTGTATTTGTACCGATGAGAGCTATTTCATTGGAAGATCAATATTTTAAACCTTAAACACATTTCCAGGACTCACGGAAACCGAACAGCACATCAAATGCCAGGAAGGTGCAGTGATTTCCCAGGGCTACGCACCTGAATCTAAAACCCAGATCTCGTTCTGCAGCCTGGTTGAGTCTATAACAGCATATCATCCCGTGAAACATATCTAAACATTATCCTTGCATATTTTAAGTTATTCAATGGGATAAAACTGTGTCTTTAGTATATTTGTCTTAAAAGTATTTTATTTGTTGGTGTGTTCATTAGCATGCGTCTTCTTCTATTTTATGTTTCCATGCTCGATTGCTGTCTTTTTTTTCCTGTATTTATGTATCACGTCTTCCCTTTATACCACAATTTCCAAAAGTCATTGATTCCCACCACATTGTAGAAAATAATTGATGAAAATCAAGAAGACCTGAGTTGTCTCTTATTACTGAATTTTAAATGACCCTTTGAGGTGCTGGCCTATATTGCAAAGCTTAAGTGACTCTGAAATGTTGGTTTCTATAAATCGAGTTTGGTTTGTTTTCTTTTAAAGCTGTAAGTCTCAGTGTAGACATATGCTTTCATTTCCCTTGGGTAAATACCTAGGAAAGGAATGGCTAGGTCATATGGTAGGTTTATGTTTAACTTCTGAGAAACTGCGGAATGGTTTTCTGGGCAGCTGCACCGTTTTGCACGCCCACCAGAAAGCACTGAAGGCTCCAGTTAGTCCTATCCGCATCAATATGTGGTGTGGTCGCTCTAACCTTAGTCACTGTACTGGGTAGGGAGGGGTGTCTTATTGTGGTTTTGACTTGTTTTTCCATAATGACTAAGTATTGAACACTTTTTAATGTTTTCATTAGTCATCCATGTATCTTCTTTGTAAACTGTCTGTTCAAATCTTTGCCTATTCGTTGTTGTTGTTGTTCAAAATTACATGTCTTTTTGTGATTGAGTTGTGAAAGTTCTTTATATGTTCTAGATACATATCTCCTGTTGGATATATGTTTTACATGTATTTTTCTTTACTCTGTGGCTTGCCCTTTTACTCTTATCAGTGTCTTCTGAAAAAGCATACATTTTTATTCATTTTTATTTATTTAATTTTAGTTATTTAATTTGTTATTTTATTATTTAATGTATTTAAATAAATTTTATTTATGTATTTAATTTTATTTAAATTTATTTATTTATTTGTTTATTTTTATTCAAACTACATTTAAACGTCTGTTTCCCCAATTTGTGATTCTATCTCTTAAGTAAATCAAGGTTCTGCTATGTAAAATAAGTTAATCAACAAAAATACTGAGTATAAAAGTACTATTAATAAATGCAGTTCTGTACCCAATCTTATTTTTTATTTCATAATTAAGAAATATTTGCCAAACGAAGGGACATTAATTTTCCCCTTATGTTTTCTTTTAAAGTTTTTATACTTTCAGCTCTCACATTTAGATCTATGAAGCCTTAAAAACAATGTGCCAAAGACATATTTATTTTAAGAAACTGGAAAAATAACAGCAAAAAAATGCAAACGACAGAACAACAAAAGAAATAAAATGTAAAAGTAACTAATAGAATAGTAAATCACACAGAGGATCACCAAAGCCAGAGGTTGGTTTAAGAGACTCATAAAACTGATACATTGTTGGTGAAATTGGCCAAGAAAAAACAGAGATGGAACAAATAACTATTATCAACCATAAATAAGAAACATCACTATAGATCATATGGAAATACATTTAAATAAATGGTATTATTAATAGAACAACTTGTGGCTGTCTGGAGGAAACATAAGTAAGTGTGATATGTATTTCACAATGTTCACCAGATTACACTTCTAAGGGATAAATGATTTGAATATAAAAATTAAATTCATTAAAATAACATACAAATAATTTTTCTTTGTAAGTTTTAAGTGGGTTTTTAAAATTATTATTTAAAATCCAGTGGAAATAAAAAACGATATACTTTTTTTTTTTTTTTTTGAGAGGGTGTCTTGCTCTGTCACCATGCTGGAGTGCAATGGTGCGATCTCGGGTCACTGCAACCTCCGCCTCCCGGGTTCAAGCGATTCTCCTGCCTCAGCCTCCTGAGTAGCTGGAACTACAAGTACGCACCACACACCTGGCTAATTTTTGAATTTTTAGTAGAGACAGTTTTTCACCACGTTCGCCAGGATGATCTTAATCTCCTGACCTTGTGATCCACCCGCCTCGGCCTCCCAAAGTGCTGGGATTACAGGCAAGAGCCACTGCTCCCGGCCTTTATTATATTTTATAAGCCTACTATGTTAAAAAGAAAACTCTTCATTTCCTATGGTAAAACCATCCAACAACTAAAATAATACGTTTGGGTTCACACCTTGGAGGGAACAGAAAGAAGAGAATCTTCCTAATAAATTAAAGTTTACTGAAATACAAAAGTCAAACAAATGATAAGAAAAATATTAACAATCTTAAAGAAAAATGGGAAAAGAGAATGAACAAAGGGTTCAAGGCAAGGGAAGTAGAAACAGCCTTTAAACATAGGAAAAGATGCCAACCTCTACTGCTAACGCTAGAAATGGAAATTCAAATTCCCTGTAGCTCCACTTTTTGCTATCAGATTGGGAACATTCCACGTGTTATGTAACCATGGAGGGTAAAACTCTGGGGAAAGCTGTGTTCCCATACACACCTTTTGGTCTGCACATACCTTCAACCCCTACAGAGGGCATTTTGGCAATACTAGCAAAATAAAAAATGCATACATTTTCTTTGAACTGGCAGTTTACTTCTCATGATCGATCATATAGCTTGACTACTCGCTGTGTAACTTATGAATGATTTCGTTCATTGTGGTCTTGAGGTAGGAGATCAGCAGGATTTATTTTCAAAAACCAATCACCACCCCGCTGACCAATATAGGATGCAATAAAGAAACCAGCAGAGGTCGGATAAGGTAGCTCACGCCTGTAATCCCAGCACTTTGGGAGGCCGAGGTGGGTGGATCACCTGAGGTCAGGAGTTTGAGACCAGCCGGATCAACATGGTGAAACCGTGTCTCTACGAAAAATACAAAAATTAGCCCGGCATGATAGTGTATGCTTGTAATCCCAGCTACTAGGGAGGCTGAGGCAGGAGAATCACCTGAACCCGGGAGGCAGAGGTTGAAGCAAGCCAAGATTGTGCCATTGCACTCCAGTCTGGGGGTTGCAGTGAGACTCCGTCTCAAAAAAAAAAAAAAAAGAAAGAAAAGAAAAAAGAAAAAGAAACCAGCAGATGGGACAAAAACGACCTCTAGTTGCCCCCACTGCTCATTAGCATAAGGACACTCCCACCAGCACCATGACAGTTTACAAATGCCATGACAATGACCTGTAGTTACCTTATATAGTTCCCAGAATTTCTCACTCCTCTTCTAGAAAATTCTGAATACCTCACCCCTCAGTTAGTACATAGTTAAGAGTGGACATAAATAAAGCTAGCCAGCAGTTCATGAGTTTCCCTCTAGGCTGCTCTGTCTATGAGAAAGTCCTGCTCTGGCTGTGGAGCTGCCATTTTGCTGCACCCTGTAGCTCTAATAAACTTGCTTTCTTTCACTGTTGGCTCATTCCTGAATTCTTTCCTGGGTGAAGGCAACAGCCCTCCTGGGCTGAGTCTCTTTTGAGGGTTTGCCTACACTGGTCTTGTTTATAATAGCAAATCGTTGAAAACAACCTCAATATACATTAATAACAAATGCTATTTGTTATTAATGTATGAAACAAACATACATTATGAACAGGCTGATGAAACAAACATTGGTCAATCTATAAAGTGGGAAGTTTTTAAGGCTAAAAAAACAGTATTCATGGAAAATATCTAAGTTATATATTTTAGTTGAATAAAACAAGTTACAGACAATATGTAATATTTGAAAGCTTAATTTTAAAAAATGTTGAAAATATTCTTACATATCCATCTCTAAATGAAGACGCATAAAATTTCTGGAAGGATACAAAAAAACATGAAGACCAGTGTGTTACCCTTCGGGTTACATTGCTCGTATCAGATTCAAAGTGAATAGAAAGCCCAGAGCCCAGCTTCAAGGTGAGCTGTTTCCTTTGAACCTCATGTGAATAGGTTGTGAATGAATTCACTCAATCATGCACTGTGGCAGGCCTGTTTGAGAACCACATGAAATATTACATATGTGAGAAAACACAATAAGAAATTATTTTTAAATAAAATAAATGTAAAATATAAGGATCAGAAAGGAAGGTACCAAGCACTTCTTATTTGAAGAAGATACAATGCTTTCATAGAAAAAAACAAAGAATCTACAAATACTGAGTTAATGCTCTTTCAATTTGCTATCACGGCAAACAGGAACACATTAGCTGCCATATTTTTCATTAAATCTATCCCAGCTAACCCAATCTAAGCTAACCCAAATCCAAGCTGGGTTAGAATTTTTGGAGTTCTCTGAGTATAACTCTTTCATTTTTAACACATTGCTGTGTGCTTCCTTGAAGTATCATTGAGTGGTTTTATGAGTTAGTTTGATCGATTTACTTGGATTATAACATCCCAGAAAACAGGGACCAATATTTTGTTTCATTCTTAAGGCCTGTGCACTGTCTTGTCATGTGGGCAGTTTGTGGATAATAAATATGCTCATTTAAAATAATACTTGGAATGAATAAATAACTGCAATGGAACACCAAAATTCTGGACTTTATGAGTGATCCAACTTATGCAATAGTCTAGGACAAAGTGTGTTCTCCAAACCAGCAGCATCTGCATCACATGGGAAATCAGAAATGAAGATGCTTGGACCCCAACCCAGACCTACTGACTCAGAAACTCTGGGGTGGGCCCAGAAATCTTGCTTAGAAAGCCCACCAGGTGATTCTAATGCAGATGACATTGGTGGGCTAGTGTTCTTGGAGTTAAAGACTATGTCACCAAATAAAGAGACAAGGTGACAGCTTCTCAAGCAGTTGATGATCAGGCATTACTGCTTGGGGGCAGTAATTGTTTGCACCAGTTCTCTGTTTGACAGCCTTGTCTCAATTTGATTATTTTGTGAAAAGGTGCCCTTGACTCTGATGTCTTTAGGGTTAAAGGCACATATACCTTTGAACTGTGGAATTCCTGTGGAGCAAGGCTTTTCAAACTTCGCTGTCTGTAAACTTTCACATGGAGGATTTGCTAAAAACTGGGCTCTAGTCTCAAAATGTAGGTTCACTGGATCTGGAGTGATTCCTAGCATTCTGTATGTTTTTTAAACAAGCAATCCTGTGAACCTGTTGCAGGTGGGTGATGGACCACATTTGAGACTCACTGTGCTACCACCTTGCTGCTCAAATTATGATTGCAAGCCAGTGGCACTGGGATTGGCTGAGAGATTGTCAAAAATACAAAATCAGGCATCCCATCCTCTACCCATGGAATCGGAAACTTCATTTTAGCAAATTTCCTGAGACATTTGTTATGCATATTAACATTTGAGCACTGTTACAGAAGTTGATGAGAACAATAAGTTATTATATGACAGGACACTGGCTGAAAGTAAAGAACGACAATTTCCAAACAACTTATTCTCCATGGTCATTCCCAGGATTCTATTAAATCCTACCACTTTTATTCCTCTTGATTTCTGATTACATTTTTCTTTCATAACTGCAGGTTTAGGGGAAAAAAACTCGATGTGTAATATGTTTATTATAGTACATATTTAAATAGCTCTCATTAAAGCTCAGTGAAACATATATAGCACTACAAATGACACTAATGCAATTAACAATAATTTATGTGGGACCCTGTATGTTTTAATACACAGAAATAAATTACTTGATAATAGAAAATTAATAATGAATTTGTGATGCTTGTAGTAAGATGCTGACCCAATCATGTATTGTTTCCTTTCTAGATTTTAATATTTATATAATTTAGATGTTACTTTTAAAAAAAGGGAGTATTTTAAACTCTTATAATTATATCTATTTCTATTAATTTATAGTCAAGAGGGGTACATTTACTTAAGGTAGAAAAACATCATTTACATTGCATTAACATTTTACTAAGAGATAAAATGTTTTCACCTATTAGTATAAAGGAGCTTATTAGACTTTGAGTATATGGCTTTTCAATTTATTTTTGTATAAGCAAAAATTTTCACTTAAAACAATATGGCTATTTTGATGATCAGCTACTATTCTTACTTGTTGCCATTTTATTTATTTATTCATTTATCTATTTTTTTGTAGTTAGCCTTAGGGACAGTCTGATAGATCTTAGTATTAGGTAAAGACTAAAAGTGCCTAAAACCTTACAATATGTACGCTAAAAGCTGCAGAAGACTTGCCTTAAACATAGTCAAAACACCAGCTTCCTATAGGGTGTGGAATGGCCACAAATCCTTTGGGAACAAGGGATATAAATAAGTATATGAATAAATATTTGTGGCATAATGGAGGCGGTAACACGCAGGACTGTTGGTCCAAAACTATCAACATGACTAGACTATCGCACATTCCTTCACCGGAGAGAGATCGTTAAACAGAAGACTGCACCTTCTTCACTGCAAATACTCCTGGCGGGGACACTCCTGAAGCTCTTGGGAGTGATCCTCCCTCCTGGTCCAATGCCAGAGAGTGTGAGGGGAAGGCATCTGTGGGAACGGCCCAGGGCCCAGAGCAGGGAGGCAGGAGCCCAGCAAAGCCACCTTCTACCCCTTTATTTAATTTCCTAACTCGGAGGTTTTAAAGGAAAAGACAAGCAAAGGCCTTTTATTGATGGAGAAATGTGATTCTTAAATTTGTGTGTACATAGACAGAGAAGACCTGCACATCTGTGTTGTTTTCAAATGAAAGTTCCATGGAAGAAGCTCCTGTTGAATCTGGGAACCACCAAGGACGTTGGCTGGTGTGTGGGCAGCACTGGGAGGGCGGCTTGGGTGGCCACACTGCTCTGCTCCGAGGTATTGGTTTGATTTGGGGCATTTGCTTCATCTCTCTCTGCCTAAGTTTGCTCATCCATAAAATAAATTGGACTAGAAGATCCCTAATATCCCCACTGTTGTCTTTTTTTTTTCCCAAAGAGCAATAACCAGTGAAAAGGAAAATGAGTAATTTATATTTTCTCAACTAGTTTTGAAATTACAACCCTAGGCTTACAGCACTGCAGTTACTTCCTATGATTCAGTTAATTAAAAAATAAAATACAAAAATATTGAAGAAAAAGGAAAAAGTGATTTAGGCAAAGAATAAAATCATGATTTAACACTGAAGCTCCAGGCTTCGTGGGCGTTGAGTAGCATTAAAGCTGGGTGAGTGCTACATTTCCCACCGCACACTTCACCCATTCTTTACAAGAAGCAAATTCACATCTTGCAAGGCATTACATTAATTTCTGACATCTTCCATGCATTATAGTCATTATATCATTAACTACACACGGATTTTATTTTGAAAAGAGGGAAATGAAACCATCGTTAGGTTCTTGACTGAAGACCTGAGAACATTCTACTTAAATTAGTGAGTTTCATTAAGATGAATTTCATATGAATTGCACACGTGAATAATAATTGTTGATAGAAATGAAATAAATCTACTTGGTTTAAAAGTGCTAAGTGGTAATAATGAATGAGTATAATTTACCTGGATAAACGTAGCTAGAAATATGATTACCAATCATTTAAATATTTAGGTTTTAGAGGGAATTTTATATTTCAAATAATGATCTCTAAACAAATCATATTTCTTTAAATATCTCCAGTATCAGTGGCTTATTTTTCTAATACCTCAGGCTTAAAGATGATAATGGTGTCTGGTCATATCTAGGATGAGTGAGTGTTACTCAGTGAGATAAACATAAGAACATTTAGAAAATGAGATGATAAAAACTAGATCTGTATTTACAGTGAAGCCACCCAAGAGATGCTCTCTATATCTAGTAAAATGTTATCTATTAGTCAATCAATAGTATAATAATTAAATTACTCAATAACATTTTTTAAAGAGAAAGGTTCTTGCTGTGTTGCCCAGGCTGCAGTGCAGTGGCACCATCATAGCTCATGGCAGCCTCCACCTCCTGGGCTCAAGCCATCCTCCTTTTTCAGCCTCCTGAGAAGCTGGGACTACAGGTATGAGTCACATAATGAAACTTTAAATGGACTTATGGGTCTACAATTTTAGGATCTGGAAGATAAGAATCTTCTGAATTGGCCAGAGTTTCTTTGAGGACATTTCAAGATACTAAGGGACAGAAGCTCATTGTGATGGTTTGTGCAGCAGCAATACCAGTAACTTTGAGATGTTAATTCCTCTGCTCCAGGCAGCCCCCTTCCTGACCTCAGCCACACACACACACCACAGGCTAGCTTTACCCACTTAAGGGACGGGCACAGGGACTGGCCCTGAACACATAGCTCAGCTTTATCAAGAGGACCAGATGACTGCTCTTAAGATGTGTGTGGCGGGTGATTTAATACAAATAATCACATTGATCAGTTACAGGGGACACCTATTTGCAAATCTTATTTAGTTTGAGGCAGGCACAAAGGTGGCATCCAATTGTAACTCTCTTAACTTAATGAGGCACAAGGAAACCTTAATTTCCAATGTTTTCTAATAAAAACATACAAGCAGAATAGAAGATTATACCATCTAACAAAGAGGTTCTACAGATTTTACATTACTTCCTTTTTTTAAATAGAAATCCTCTGAAAAAGAGGTACATAGACCTTGGAATAATTAACTTAAAAGCAATAAGTAATACTCAAAACCTCTTAATTCTAATTTCAAATATTTAAAAAAGAATGTTGGAGATGATTGTGAAGATGTTGGTCAAAAGATTAAAAATTTCAGTTAGACAGGAGGAAAAAATTCAAGAGATCCATTGTATACCACGATGACTGTAGTTAATAATACTTTATTGTGAACTTGAAAATTGCTAAGAGAGTAGCTTTTGAGTGTTGTTACCACACAAAGATAATACACATGTTATTTAGCTTGATTTGGCCATTCCACAATGTGTGTGTATATAATGTTGTACACATGATACTTTAATTTTTGATATTTAACTTTTCTCAATTAAATAAATAAATAGATAAGGAATATTGTAACCTGATAAATACCAGGTTTGTTTTGAACAAAACAACAGAATGTATTTGCCCAGGCTTAGTAATATTCCCTTAAAATATCATCGTATTACAATGAGATCTTATACTTTATATAGGTGTGTGTATATACACACAGAAACACATACATATACTTTCATGAAAATGAGAATAAAAACATTTTAGGATGATAGAAACAATGTATAGTGAAATAAATTGGTACAAGTAAATGTTTATTGAAAATTTATGGCCAAATTACAAGTGGTGACTCTTAAAATAATTTGCATGCCTAACATAGCCTATGCACAAATGTGTCACATTTTTTTCTTTTCTTTTATATTATATTGAAGGGTTATTTGTGAGAACATCCACCTCATAGTTGGGAG